>NC_000010.11:7888787-8040303 GCF_000001405.40 Homo sapiens
CACGTTGTGCTTTTAAGATGACTGTCTCATCTCACCTAACAAGAAGTTGGCCTGCCAGATTCAAGGCTCTAAGTAAAACTATTTGAAGTAGAGTTTTTCTTCTCTACTGTTGGTGTATGCACACTTCCTCCGGTGTATATTGTGTCTTGAGAGATTAGCCCGTGATTGCAGCATAGGCTATAATTTATAAGGATACATAGACAGGATGGTTGAGGCACTTTTTTTTTCTACACGTGGGATATTGGAGCTGCTTTTTATTAACATCTCCAGTTCCCAGTTCGAATCCACACTTTCAGAACTTTATTTACTTCATATCCTTGTGGACGTCGACATTACTGACTTTTCCCTTCTCTGAAACTGCAGACTTGCTTGCCTTCCATGACAGTACTGTTCCTTCTTCTGCTCCAGCCTTTGCGTTTTCCTCCTCTTAAATCTTAGTATTGCTAGGGTTTTGTCTTTGATTCTCTTCTCACTCTCCACATTTGGGGAATGATCTCAGCTGTACAGATATCTTTGGTTATAACAAAAGCAACAACAACTAATATTCAGTAAAACATGCTCCATGCCGGGCACTGTTGTAAACACTTCACATCTACTCATTTAATCTTCACAACAACCCTGTAAGGCAAATACTATTCACATCTGTCTGTTACAGATGAGGAAGCAGAGGCAGAAAGAAGGTAAATAATTGGCCCTTGGTCACAGAGGTAGTAAATGGCAGAGACTGGATTCACAACCACTCTGACTCCAGGAACCTTGATTTTAACCACTCTTGGGCAGGGCTAATGTATGCCTCCTGTCCCTTCCTCAAGCCTTGACCTCTTTTGTGAGGTCCAGACTCATATTCAGTGGCTTACTGGGCAAATTCCACCTCTTAGTTATTCTTCCCAAGAAGGAATTAATTATTTCTTCCATTGGCCTGGTCCTGTCCTATATCCCTATCTTGTGAAATAGCCTCGTCTTGTGTCTTGTTTCTTGTGGTAAAAGCCTGGGTGGCCTCTTAATTGTTTCTCTTTCACACTCATCTCATCAGCTGCCTTTAATTCCTGTCAGTTGTACCTCCTAAATATTAAATTCATATTATTTTCTAATGCCACAGGTCCTGTTCTCATTTGGATTTTGAATTTTCAGTTACACCCTCTTCCAGTGTCGTTTTCCTCCCTCCTCTAGTTTATCTTCCATCCTGCTGCCAGAGCAACAGTTCTGAAACAGAAATCTATTTGGTTACTGCTGTATTTATAATTTTTCCAGTTATTTTGACTTCCAGATAAAAATCAAACACTTGGCCATGGCAGGTAAGACCTTTCATGAACCGGCTTCTGCCCAGTTTCACTCTCAGTCACTTCGCTGGGACTTTTCTCTTTTTCACCAGACTGCAGCCAGCTGAAATTCACCATGGCTCTCACCTGCCTGCCTTTCTTTTCTGTGCTTGGAAGGACCATCTCTTCTTATCTGCCTGCTAAACTTCTGTATCCCTTTTAAGATTCAGTTCATTTCAGATTCTCCTTAGCCTCTCCCAGGTACCAAGCCTAATTGGATGCTCTTGGTATAGCCCTTTATCATGCTAAATTGTCTTGCCCACTGGGTAGTGAGCAGCTTGTGTTTGTAGTCTACGTTCCATCATAGTAGAGTAGAAGCCTCTTATCCTATTAGAGTTGGTTAATCGCAGAAAAGAAGTTTAAGCATGCAATTGTTTAAAGAAGAAAAGATTCATATTACGAAAACTTTATGCATTTTGTTTTAAGATGTATAAATATGTGCATTCATCTATCTTTTCAGTACAGTCAAGACTCTTTCTGTGAGTGTTGATTGTCTGATTAGAATTTAACCTTGCTTTTCTTGCATAAAACACATTCTAGCATATCATCTATGATCTCCAGTTTCAGTTTCTTTTAAGTGAAATTAGAACTTTAAAAGCTTACAAAGCAATCAGTGCAGAATTCTTCAAATTTTAACTTCTAATTCTTTTGGTTTATTTTTAAGATACTTCCTCACACCTACGTCATACATTTTTTTCCCAAGTGATTAGTCTATATCAACTCTTTCCAAAGCTTTCGATTTAGGTTTCCTTAGAAATAAGTCTCTTTTTACATTCATATTTCCTTGGTTAATATTTAATTAAGTAACACAATTACAGTAACAAGTCCAGCTGGGAAAAACTAGTTTGAGAACAGCGTAACTGAATTTTGCTAAGCATGTAGCTGAACTTGCGGATGCCAGTACACATGGAAGCGTTGAATTGGGGCCCCGCCCTTTGCATGTCTGCAGCAGGCAGTGAGTGACAGCAGATGTGTTTTAGAGAAAAATGGAGAGGACATTTGTTAATCTAGTAAGTCAATTGAACAGAGGCTGCAGGTTTTTGATATAGGTTATCTCCCATTGGTTGCTGGTATAATTATTATTTGTTAGCTGATTTTACAATTTACCCATTTTGATATAAAGGAGTAATTTTCTGAGTCTGTTTCAGCCTTCATCTTTTATTGATTTATTTGCTTTTACCTTGAGGTACTTTCAGGAATGATTAAGGTGTACATAGTAAAAGACACAGATACAAGTTAAATTTTGTGCATATAGCCACTTTTTAAAAAAACCTATAAATTATATCATTTTTAAAAAACTTAATATGAAAAAGGTAGTTATTTTTAAATGACTATTTGTGTGCTAACTTGCACTATGGTCCAAACTAAGCAATAAATGTATTGAAAGGCATGGTTAAGTCCTATGGCATACCACTTACAGCAAATTTTTTGAAAACAGTTTTTTCTGAAGATACCAGTAACCTTTTAAAAAATGTTTTATTTTCCCTGTTTTCTGTCTTTACCTTCTTATGTTTTTGTTAGAAACTTTTTTCTTAAGATATTTGATTATGGTATAAGGCAGCTAATTTAAGCATCTGTTTATCACTGCCTGGCTAGACTGAATGTAAAATTTCAATTGAATTACCTCCCAGGAGAGCTTTGAGCTCTTAGGGTAAAACACATCATTTTCTCTTCTCTCCTCTGGGATTGTCAGCAGAAAGAATTCATCTAAATAGTTTACATGCATCTTGAAAATGTTGTATCTACCGGACTTAGCTTTGTTGTTTGTGGAACATTGCCAATATAAATGGAGTATCTACTTTGCTTGTTAACTCAAGTACAATAGTGTTATATAGTATTACAATATGTATATAAATTGTAACAGTGAATGACTTTTGCTGATAGTTAACTTATGACCAATTTTCATTAACAGATAGATTTTCTTCTTTTAAAAATTTAATTTCAAAACCCAGATGTTTAATTATTCATTTATTAAATATTTATTGAGTAATTAGTGTATTTACAACTTTATGCATTACAAAATTCAGATGCATATTATGAATGCTTATTTTGCTCCTTAGCTTCTTTCTGGAAGAGTTTCAAATTTTCTATGCTCTTTTGTCTATTTCATAAGGACTTGGCTAGGAAATAGATTATTGAACTAACTGAAAAGATCAATAAGCAGATTTAGCATGTGCTGCCTGTTGGGGGCTAGAAAGCATGCTCAGTGTGGGTGAGCTGCTGAGGAGCTTTCAGCTTCATGGAATGTATGTTCCTTTCTTCAAGTACAGATTTCATAAGAAAGAACCATAATGTACTTTTCTTTGTTCTACTTGATTACAAAATTTTGTAAACATAGTCAAAAAGCAATTGAAAACTTGCTGGGTTGCTCTAGTTTTTCTTCTGTTACAATAAGATGTGATGATTTTTTAAAAAGCAGCATATAGCATTTTATATCTTTCAATATATTAACATAGTAAATCTTAAACTGGTAAAATAGAATATATTGTCAAATTATAAAATGAAAATATTTATTATCTCTATCAGTTCTGCTGTAAAGTTTGGGTTGGTTTTTGAAACACACTGTTTCTTAGAAAAATTCCAACAGTATTTTTGGTTGGTCAGCCAGTTAGTTGGTCAGTTAGTCTATCTATCCATCTTTACTTTGAAATTTCCAAGAATCCGAAACAGAACTAGTGATTCATTATTTCAATATATTTTCTTTTCTTTTTCTTTTTTTTTTTTTTTTGAGACGGAGTTTCTCTCTTGTAGCCCAGGCTGGAGTGCAATGGCGTGTGATCTTGGCTCACTGCAACCTCTGCCTTCTGGGTTCAAGTGATTCTCCTGCCTCAGCCTCCTGAGTAGCTGAGATTATAGGCATGCACCACCACACCCCATTAATTTTTGTATTTTTAGTAGAGATGGGGTTTCTCCATGTTGATCAGGCTGGTCTCCACCTCCTGACCTCCGTTGATCCACCCCCCTTGGCTTCCCAAAGTGCTGGGATTATAGGCGTGAGCCACCGTGCCCAGCTTCAATATATTTTCTTAAAATTTATTTTATAAAAAGACTTTAACATACAGTCTTTGAGTATTTGGGATATATATTGGGAAAATTGCAGATTACTTCTAGAACTTAGTATCTTTTAAAAGAATGATGTAAAGCCCTAGATTCCTGAAAGAAAGCTTTGTTATTTAATAATCAGTTACTAATGATGAATTAGTACAAGCCTAATAGAGAAACTTTTTTTTAAATCTGTGCCTTTGGATTTGGTAAGTTTATCACTTAAAAGATACGTTGCTTTTAGGATCAGTTAAACAGAGAAGAAGCAGGGAGGAGCCATGCAATTTGTAAATTTCTGCAAGTTCTGTCTACGTCGTGACCCATCAGAATCCCTTATAAGATTTCCTCTTACTGTACCAAACATTCATATCCTCAGGTATTTTTCTCTCTGTGCTTTGCCTGTCTGTGGCTTTTGTTGCTGTAGCTAGTTGCTCCACCTCATGTTTTGTCCCATCTTTTTCACTCCCGTAGCGAGATCCGTCCAAGTGTCTTCTGCCCTGACTCTTGCCAGTTCCTTCTTATCATCCCTTTGCTTCTAGCGTAGGCCTGGCCTATCTGTGTATGCTCACCAAGGTTCCCTCTTTCCCCTGCCCTTCCTTCTTCAGCTTTTCACCTCTGTTTTGCCCGTATCAATATTTTATCAGCTATTTTCTTATCTTTATTAGGATCCTTCTTACATAAATTGATCCTCTTAATTACCACCTCCTTTAATATTTCTATATACCCATATTCATTTCATCATCCTTCTCAAAAGACCCCTTAAGAAACACAGAAAGAGGCAGAACCAGTCTGTTTCTCTCTTCTCCCTTCTTTAACTTAATGTTTTCGCCAGCAGAGTAGGTACAAAACTCAAGTTACTCCAGCTGTAGTCTTCTACCCTGTATCATCAAAGGAATTGCACATTTTGTTTTATTAGTACTAAAATTATCCTTTTTCTTTTCGCCTTTTATATTGTCTTGCAGTAAGCTCTCAGTTGACAGTTAGCCATTCTAATGGAAGCAGGGGTTTGTAATCCAAAGTTAGAGTCCCTCTCTGTATTTGACTTAGGAATGTGGCACATTTTTTCCACTTCTCCTACCCCTAAGCAATACAAATTCTCCCATGACGGAGTTACTGTCAGCAGGGACAGTCGGCCCTCAGGGAACATAGCTGGTCACAGAGCAAACGTGAAAAAAATTACCACCTAAGGTAGACAAGTATTATACAGAACATCAAAATCCATCAAGTACTCGTTGCCTGCATTACGTCTCAGCGCCATCTGGTTTGGAGAAGTTAGGTCACTGGTGGAGAGGTGGTATCCATGTCTTCATCCTAGCAAGTGTAGTGTGATGCGTCAGTGACCTGATCGATTCCTAGATGGTGACTGGACCTAGGTGGTTGAACTGTTAAAAGTAGAACAATGATTTTTAATTGGTCATTGTTTGAAGTTGGAATTCATTTTCTGGGAACCTATTTTCTGTTCATTTTTTTAGCCAATTAATATTTATTGAACACTTACTATAAATGCCAAAATCATCTATGAAAATTTTATATATGTTTGTTAAATAAATAAAATCAAATATTTAACAGAACTAATGGAACTATTTTAGTATGCTTTCCCCTGGGCTGGAGTGTAGGCTAAGACTTTATTTAAATACAGGATGGATGGTGTTTTGACTGAAGATGCCTCCAACTTTTGCTCTTCTGTTTTTTATTTGATGTGCTCAAGCTTCTAATTCCCTTTTTTGTTGTTGTTGTTGTGGATTTTTGGTTTTTGAGACTCTGCCACCCAGGCTGGAGTGCAGTGGCATGGTCTTGGCTCACCACAACCTTTGCCTCCTGGGTTCAAACAATTCACCTGCCTCAGCCTCCTCAGAAGCTGGGATTACAAGTGCCCACCACCATTCCTGGCTAATTTTTGTATTTTTAGTAGAGACAGAGTTTCACCATGTTTGCCAGGCTCCTGACCTTGGGTGATCCGCCTGCCTCGGCCTCCCAAAGTGCTGGGATTACAGTCTGCCTCTCTTTGAAAGGTAAATCCTAAATGAGGGGCAATTTCCTTGGTAACTTGATAACAGCTTTAGTGAGTCCTAACCCCTTGTTTTTATTGGCCCATTGGACATCTGCCTAGAGCATGAGTGCCTTCTGTTTCAGTGATTTCAACTTTTCTGGAAAATCCTTTGCTGTATCTGTACAGCAATGGCTTCAGTTTCCCATTAAATTTATATTTTGTGACAATTATTTCTCTTCTGAAGCCAGCAGACAGTTCTTATCTCTTCCTTAGACATCCCACGGCTCTGTTTTTAAGCATTTTGAAGACAGACAATGCTTTTCTTGAAACCAATGCATCACACTTTCTTACTGACATCATGGTCCTGGCACGAACACCTTGGCCTGCCACATCTATGCTGCTGAGTTGTCAGTAAGACTTTTGGTCATAAGTATAAGAGTCTTATTTATAATCACAAGGAAATGGGTAAAAGCAGAGGGCTCCAGGTTGAGTCTTGGGAAATTGGGGCATGATTCTAATTGAAAAGGGCCTGGGCTTTGGAATGAGACTTTCCATTGCACACATTTTTTTCCACTAATTGTGTGGCCTCTATCTACAGTTATAGAATTTTTGCTTTCTCATCTACAAAATGAGGATGACAGTATCTGTTTCTTAGGGGTGAAGTGAAGATAAAGTGAGAAAATGTGCGCAGTTTTTCTGGCGTTCAGTAGGCATTCACCAATGTCAGGGCTGCTTTCTCCCCACCCCTGCGCCTAGTTATCACGTGACAGGAATCAAGTGCCTTCAGTGAACACCGAAGCTGACCATGCGGGGGTGGAAATTCCAAGTTGGGCCAGTGACTGTAAATAGTATAAATAGTAAAATATATATGAGTAGCAGGAGTGGGAATGGAATAGGAGAATTCAGAGAAGGAAAAGGAGTGGGTTACCAATGATAGTTGAAGTAACTGCATCGGTTGCTGCTGATAGGTCCCTGGGCCTCAGTTTACCAAGCCCTGAAATGAAATATTGGAACCTTGTTCTATTGTGTATGCTAGTAAGGTAAAAACAACTCTGTTTGAACCTTTCAGTTTTCTAATAAAATAATAACCCTTCTCTATATTCTTTTTCTCAGATCTTTACTCTTGTGACTCCGTGAATGGGGGGAAAACGTAGACCAAAACCAATTCTTGCCAGAACCGTTTTCATTCTGGGGATGGTTGTAAGTTCTAATGCTGTCCTGTGCAACTACTCCCAGGAACTTGGAGGAGGTCCTACGACAAGGGAGAAGGACAGGAGGAGGCTTTTCAACTTTGTCTTTGAGACCACCACTTGTCACCAGCCACTTCCTGCCACCCACTCAGCCAGCTGGGAATGTTTGCTTCATAGATCTCTAGTTGCCATAGCCCCACACAGCGTGCATGCCACATTCTGTAACCTCTCATTCGACAGTCGCATTTGGGGACAGATTTAGCTAAGTTGCAGTAAGTGGGACAGAGGTCTTTCATAAAATAGATACTTTTTCCTTCAGTATTGAGCTTTTAGGAAAAGAGGAACATATATAATAGCAAAATACTTGATTAATAAGTGTGGTAGTTTTCTACTACCACATGACAAATTACCACAAATTTAGCAGCTTAACACAACACTGAGTTATTTTCAACAGTTTCTGTAGGACAGAAATTCATTGTGGTTCATCTAGATTCTCTCTTTAAGGTCTAACAAGGCCAAAGTCAGATGTCAGCCCAGTCGAGCCCAGATGTCAGCCCAGTTGGAAGGCCCTTTTCCAACCTTCTTTATTGGTAGATTTTTGTTCCTTGCATCCGTAGGACTGAGGTACCTGTTCCTGGCTGGCCGTGAGCCAGCAGTTGTGCTCACCTTTCAGAGGCTGCCGACATTCTTGACCACATGGTCCCTCCATCCTCAAGCCAGCAGTGACTTGTCAAATCCTCATGCTTTGAATCCCCAACTTCTTCTTCTGCTACCAGCCAGGGAAGACTCTGCACTTAAAAGGTTCACGTGAAGAGATCAGGCCCGCTTGGCAAGTCTCGCTTGTGCATCATCATCCTGGGAGCACCACCTTATTGTCTTTGCAGGGTCTACCCACACCCAAAGAGGACGGGATCACACTTAAGCCAGGTCGCCGGGGGGTCACTTTTATCATTCTGGCTACCACAGCTCATTTGACTGAATAAAGAACTTTATGTTGATATTTACTTTCCAGTAGAATTTTGAGCAAATTATTCCATTATCTTTTAGCATTGAGTAGTATACTTGAGAAATTCTGATCCGTTCTGAATCCCAATCCTATGTATACTGTCAGAGTTTTCTCTCTAGCAAATTTAGATTCTTCTCTTTATAGCCATGTTTTAAAATTTCACTGTGATTTGCCTTCATGCGTGTTTTGTTTTTTTCATGGTACCGCTAAGGCAACTGATGGGCTCTTTTAATCTGATAATCCATACCCTTCGGTTCTTAGAAGTTTCCCTGTTTTATTTTCGCATAACTTCCTTTCTCCTAGTTCCTATTCTCTCTCTCTCTCTCTTTCTTTCTTTCTTTCTTTTTTTTTTTTTTGAGACTCTCACCCAGGTTGAGTGCAGTGGTGCAAACACAGCTCACTACAGTCTCAAACTCCTGGGCTCAAGCGAGCCTCCTGCCTCAGTTTCCCATGTAGCTGGGACCATAGGCGTGTGCCACCATGCCCGGCTAACTTTTTGATTTATTTGTAGAGACAGGGTCTCACTTTGGTGCCCAGGCTGGTTTTCAACTGCAGGGCCGAGCGATCCTCCCATCTCCAGCCTCCCAAAGTGCTGGGATTATGGGCATGAGCCACCACACCCGGTCCCTATTTTCTCTTTTGGAATTCTTATTGGTTGGATGTTGAATCTCTTGAACTTTTAATATTCTTATTTTTTTCTCTTTTTATTATGTCTTTGCCTTTTATTATTCTTTTCAAAAGCTTTTCTTGATTTTATCTATCAACCCTTCTGTATCAACTGGTATGCTTTCAACTCCAAGTAATAGAATATGGAAGTACAAATGGCTTCAACAGTAATAATTCATTTTTTAAACGTAAATAGGACTGAGGAATTTATGTTCCCAAAATTGACACAGGGACTCAACAGTGTCATGAAGAATCTAACTCTTAGGCCGGGTGGGGTGGCTCATGCTTGTAATCCCAGCACTTTGGGAGGCCAAGGTGGGTGGATCACCTGAGGTCAGGAGTTCGACACCAGCCTGGCCAACATGGTGAAACCCCGTCTCTACAAAAATACAAAAATTAGCTGGGCATGATGGCGGGTGCCTGTAATCCCAGCTACTTGGGAGGCTGAGGCAGGAGAATCACTTGAACCCAGGAGGCAGAGGTTGCAGTGAGCCTAGATCACGCCACTGCGCTCCAGATTGGGCGACAGAACAAGACTCTGTCTCAAAAAAAAAAAAAAAAAAAAAAAAATCGAACTCTTCCATCTTTCTTCCTTACTTTTCTTGGTGTGTGACAGCCTCTCTCTCCCCCTCAGTTGTAAGATGTCTGAAGCTCTTCAAGCACTGGGTTCTTATAAAACCGCTGTGCAAAAGCAGAAAGAAAGAGGTAGACTCTCTTTAAGCTCTTCAGACAATTAATGTTTTTTCCTTTCACTCTGAGAATATTGTGTTGTTTTTTGAAACTGTCTTATTAAATTGTCTTTGTTTTCTTTGAGTTTTTTTTTTCTCTTTTGGTGGAGATGATCTCAAATGTTGTGGATTGCTGGGTGTGGTTTCAGACTTGCGAGTGAGGCACTCAAAAACCAAGTGAAAGTTTCATGCGTACTGTCAGGGATGGCAAGTGGTGCGTTGAACTTCAGGGTGACTGGGAATTGGCCTTTTCTTTAAAAACCATTAATGTCAGTTCCCATAGGTTTTTTCTTTTATTCTAGGTGAGATTCCCCCAATCTACCTGGAAGGGAGGGATTCTTGTAACCGGCTGCTAGCATTTTTAAGAGAGCATTTAAGAGACTGGCATTAGAAGGTTGATATTTTTGTTGATCAGATTGAAGCTTTACTCAATATTGCGATTTTCGATCCTGGGCCTCACCTACATCCTTGCCTGTGCGCAGTCTCCCTCGATCTGGAGCCGTTCTCATTCGGTCCCTCCATCCATCTGTTCCTGCCTCCTTCCCTTCCCCAGATGTCTTCTGCCCAAGGGAAGAAGGAATCGCTGCCTGGCTACTTGAGGTTGTGATGGTCATCTGGGTGGCTGGCTTCCAGCACACACATTCAGCAAGTCCCATGTCCATCTTCCCAGGGACCTGGCGCCTCTGATCCCCAGACTCCTCCATGATTCTGTCCTGAGGAGCAGTTTACTTACACATTTGCATTTCTCTTTGCAGTGTTTCTTTCCCTCTACAGTTAAACCCAGCCATTCACCCCTTCTCCATCTTCTAGAACATTGCTTTCTATTTATATTCCATGTGCAGCTTTGTGCTTGGTACTGGAAGGTTAAGACAGTCTGTGCTCAGGAAGCTTCCATTCCCGTTGATACTGAAGAACACAAAGGAAGAAATCAGAGGAAAAGCTTAGATGTTCACAGTAAACATATTACTAAATAAAATGATTTATGTATATGATAGACTATTGAGTGCTCATTAAATAAATCATGTTTTTGAAGATCACGTTAGGGATGTGCTCTATAGTATGTTGTAAAAATAAACAAAACTGTTTAGTATGATTTCCATTATGTAGGGAAATGAATATACACGTGCACAGAAAAATACTAAGAAAATGTAAACTGCAATATTAGTGACTTTTCTAGATTATGGGGTTATGGTGATTTTTAAAGGCAAGTATCTTTTGAACTACAGTGAAGATTGCCTTTCCCCTCGTTTTCCTCAGTGGACATGTTAGGCGGCGTCCACTCATATCCAACTCCCTTCTTATTTGCCTCCCCATTACATGTCTGTTAAAATATATTGAAAAGATATCCATCCTGTGTAATGGTGTAAAGCTTACACCGAATGGTATAAAATCCACTGACTGCTACAACTTAGAATAGTTATACCAGTACTTTTGCCTTTTCCTAAGGCTTTGAACATCATAGTTTAGCCACTTCCTACCATTTTCTCTGTTATTTCTTATTGCCAAAATAAGTCTTCTATTCTTTAAAAAAGTCAAGAAATGAAGAAGAATACAAATAGTGTTTTGTAGCAATTATTGATAAATTATACTTTTAATGGAGGCATTTGTTTCAAAATCATTCTTATAAGGAAACATATGATAATGTGTTATTTCTTGGGTTTGGAATTGTTTTGGTAGCCTGAAATTGGAGATAAAATGGGTGACAGCTTTGTACATGACTGCTACTCCTCGGTGGATGGCTGGAGAGAGCTCAGAGGCCCAGCTATCCAACCACTATTGTGTGGTCCTGAAAGGAGCCAAGAAAACAAGCACACACCAATGCTGGCATCATTGAAAACTCCTGTGCCCCTATAATGTGGGGCATGAAATCGAATCTCAACTAGGAAAAGGTAGAAAGTTATGAAATGATTCAGATTCTTTTAATTACTATAGAAAAACTATTTTTATAAAAATTTTTATTTCTAAAACACATTTAAGTAGCAGTTTCCCCAGTTTGGGGGGAGGTTACATAAGGAAGGTATAGGGTAGGGTAGTGTTTCACTGTTTTACTGAACTTTTTGCTCTTTAGGCTTCGTATTAAGAAGGTAAAGATTTTGATTAGAAGCACATGGATTTTCTCCTACATTAGCAGATCATAAAACTTTTTAAAAATCATAATAAATTTATCACAAAACAATTCACGTTTAGGATACCATATTAATCTTTTAAATTATTTTTTAAATGGGTGCTTCTTGAAGTAGCGGTGTATGTAGATATTTATAATTTCTTCTGGTGTGCTTGTGGTGATCATCCAAAAATTAGTTTTCTGGTTACACATTTGAAGCTACTAAGATCCACTGCATTTGATTATAATTTATTTTTAAATGCCCTCATATTATAAACCTGTATCTTTTATGGGGACTTATCTAGGTGTTGGCTGTCAATGATTTTATTAAAGCTATTTGTAATTAAGTTTAACTAACATAAAACTATAATGCATATCCTTTGGATGAAGAAAATACTTTAAAAAGAAAACTTTAAAATACATAAATACATTCTTGGAATGTTTCCAAACCTCTGCGTAGTCCATGCCACAGAAGTAAAGGGTCTTTCTCAAATGAAGTTAATTACCCACAGGGTGCATGTTGGTCACTCTTTAAAATTCTTATAAAAACAAAGAAATTAATTATCCAGTATGAAAACAAGTTCTACTCTTTCTGGCAAACATTCAATTAACTTTTTAGTGCTTGCTATTTAATGTTGTTTTTGACCAACCAACCATTGAAAACTACTTTCCTTTGAAATTGGGCTTGAGTAGAAAACAGTATTATGTGTGGCTGTTTAGATGGCCAGTTCCATTTGGCCATCAGCTTTTTTCCCATGATCTTTGAATTCAATGGCTTGTTATATTTTAGACTCACTGTGAGGTGTGCATTGAGCACAGTTATTTTGTGTATTTAGTGTTGGAATTAACATCTAAAATGTGTTGGGAATACCCAGTAAACTTCTTAAATTAATATTTTATATTAAGACGCTTCAGAAATACAATGGTATTAAAAGCACTTTACAGCTGAATGACTAAGGCTGTGACGGTCACATTTAAATAACTTTGTTTTTTCAGAAAATAGGTATTTTCATTGCCTTTCTTTCTGATATTTTGTGGATGTTTCCTTCCTATGTTTTGGAAGGTATATTCCAAATTTGATAATCTTATCATTTTGCCACATTGGCTTTCTTCCCTTTGAACTGACAGATTTGTGTGTGCACGTGGACGCTCCTCCAGACTTTATGTTCGGAACCACTGAGAGTACTGGCAGACACTAACTCCGCACCCCACGTTCGTCAGTGTGTGTGTTTTCTTAGAACCAGGACATTTCTTCTCCATAACCACCAATTAACATATTTAGGGACTTTAACATTGATGTAACATCACTGTCCAATATTCAGTTTGGACATATCCAATCCCAGCACTTTGGGAGGCTGAGGCAGGCGAATCACTTGAGGTCGGGAGTTCGAGATCAGCCTGACCAACATGGAGAAACCCTGTCTCTACTAAAAATACAAAATTAGCCAGGCCTGGTGGCACATGTCTGTAATCCCAACTACTCGGGAGGCTGAGGCAGGAGAATCACTTGAACCTGGGAGGTAGAGGTTTCTGTGAGCCGAGATTGCACCACTGCACTCTAGCCTGGGCAACAAGAGCGAAACTCTGTCTTAAAAAAAAATAATAAAAAAAGAATCTTTTCTTAGGAGATGTTATTAAGAGTCCGGGCCAATATTGACTGCGTGTGGTTGTTTTCTCATGACGAAACTCAGGGGAAAAACGTTTCTCAGGGTTTTCATAGGTGCTGTTGTTTCCTTTTCAGTGTGTTACATCAGGAGGCGTATAATGTCAGGCTCTCTGGGTGCTGGGGGATGACTGTGTAGTTCAGATGGTGTCTATCGGATGTTTTTCATGTAAAGGTCACTTTCTCCCTTTATAATTAATGAGTAATAGGCTGAGTGATACTGTGAGACTTTGCAAATGTTCTGATCCTCCGCGTTCATTTAGCATTTATTGATGATTCTTGTCAGTTATTATACTTGTGGCTGTAGAATGTTGATTTTCTATCACTTCTGTATTGAAATTCTTCCATTTAAGAAAAAAAGAATTGTCTCTCTTCCACTTCTGTACCCTTTTTTAGTGGTTAGAATAGACTCAGGTTTTTTTTTTATTTAATGTTTAAAAATAATAAAGTCATGCTTGTGCTCACCTATGGTCCCAGCTAGTTGGGAAGCCGAGGTAGGAGGATTGCTTGATCCCAGGAGTTTGAAACCAGCCTGGACAACATAGTAGGACCCCATCTCTTAAAAGAAAAGAAAAAGTTATCCTGGCATGGTGACACACCCGTGCTCCCAGCTACTTAGGAGAGTAAGGTGGGAGGATCGCTTGAGCCTAGAAAGTCGAGGCTGCAGTGAGTGGTGATTGTGCCACTGCACTCTCAGCCTGGGCAACAGAGCAAGACTCTATCTCACAAAAATGTAATAATCCATTTCTGTCATCATGTATGCTGCTGCTCAAATTGTCCCAAATTTGACAAATGAGAGGCCCCTACAGGTGACCCCTGTGTCCTTTGACAAGTGTCCATCTCAGCTTTTGAACATTTTCTTACTCTTCTGGCACAAGAAGCCCCAGGCTCACTGTGTACTTCCTTTCCTTGTCTCAGCCTTGGAAGCAACTCTTTCTCCAGGAAGCTCACCTCCTTTTAGTGAGGAAATGGTATTTAGCAAAATTTAAAATTTTTAATAAGGACAACGGTGTTTAACTGTATTGTAAGCCTGTGATTTAATATGTTTTTATCTTAGGAAATAACTTCTTACCTATAAAACAAGGAAATGTTTTGATTAGTTCATCTTTGGAATTGCTTAGCTGATGCAGTTTAGCATTGCACCATATATGAAAAATTAGAATTATAGAAGCACGATTTTCAGGAGACTACAGTTAAAGGAAAGATCAAAGTGTTGGTCTTCTCCTTTGAATTTAATCATCTTTTCCAGGCAGACATAAATATGTTTTATTTAGCCCATGTTTAAGAAATATGTATTATTTTGCTTGGAAGTTCTGTGGATATTGAAATGACTGGGATATAGATCCTCCCCTTCAGGGGCTTACAGTCTCTCGGGGGACATAAGGGACATAAGACAAGTATTCAGAGATACATAACGTGAGATAACCTACAGTAAGTGTGAGAATATTTTACGGTATTGTAGGTATCTGGAAAACAGAGAGCAGATCTGGGTCAGGGTGTCTGAGAAGTTTCACGGTGCGTCTGAGTTGGAGCAGAGTCCAGTGTACTTGGAAACAAGGGCCGCAGAGGGAAGCAGCAGTGCTAGAAGTAAGAAGAAGCCAGTTTAGAGAGGCCGTGAACTTCACACTGAACTTGTTCTGAATTCAGCGGCAGCGAGAGCCTGTTCAGTCTCGCATAGTGGGGTTGGGACACGCTCTTCCGAGGCAGTGGGTTATCTCAAATAGAGACTGTCTTGGGCAGTATGGTAGTGGCCCACACAGTAGAGTTCCAGAGGCCCTGAAATGTTGCTTCTCTGATGAGCCCTCCCTAACCAAGCAAGACTGGTTCCTTTCTATTTATGCTTTGTAGCCCTAATACAACTGAAATGAAATGATCTTTGATGTATTTTTTTCTTTAAGGCCTGTCACCCCCATTAACTGTTAATGCCATGAGAAAGACGTTGTCTGTCCAGTTCATCATTGCATATTCTACACCTAGTAGTCTATTAGTGCCTGATACACGCATTTATCTCATATTTGTTGGATAATTAAATGACTGAGAAATAATAAATGAGTGTGTAAATTAATGAGTGAAATAACAAAGGAAGGAATAAATAAAGGAAGGGAAAGATTTGCTGATACGTAGATAGTAGTGAAGGGGAAAGTTAGAATAAACAGGAGAGAAGGGCCCCAGCACACATTGCAACTGGCAGGTGGGTGGGCTGGAACTGTGTAGTGTGCACAGCGTTGGCTTTCATGATATTTAGTAGAAATTTGGAATAGTTACCAGCATTTGAAACTTGGGGTTTTTTCCAGATTCTCTGGAAAAACTGGAAGATCTGGTGACACGGGGCCGACCGTAACTGGCTGAGCTCATGGAAGCTGGCTGTGCTCCCTTTAGGCTGCACACATGAACCCCAATTCCCCGCACTTCCTCCACCACCCGCTCCTCCTCCACACTGAGCTCTCCATTGCCCTGCATCCTTTCCCTCACACTGCCCTTTTTCTTTTGCTAGAGGTGAGAGGAAAAGTGAAACGTTTCTTGTATCCGTGTCTCTTTGAGAAGTGGAAAAACCAAAGATAGACTGAAAGGCTCCAAGTAGTAGGAGGGCATTTTCTTTGAGAATGTGAAGAATATTCTTAGTCTTTAATATGCAAATAGAGTGTCCCTATGGTAAGAATACAACTCAAGGGGGGCTATTTATGAAATACACCCTACGTTAGAGTTTGAGACCCCAGAGGTAGACCGTACAGAAACCGACAAGTAGAGATGAAGCGGTAAACAGAAGAGTGACACGCGCTGCCTTGACTATAAATAGCAAAGTTTAGAGAAGCACCTGTTTCAGGGGAAGCCAATGATTTTGACATTAGAGTTTTTCTTAATTTTAATTCAAATAAATTATTAAGTATTTTCTCTCTTTTAGACAAAACCTTTGTTTTCATACACGATGAAAATGTAAGTAATTATTGCTATTCAACTTCATTCACTTTTTTAGTTTGGATAACGAGTTCAGATGGCTGGACATAGCTGTGTTACAGCCCATTTTTTGAGTGTTTTTAATGAAATTTGCAAGTCATGGGCTAAAAACATTGCAAAGCAATATACTCCTTTAAAAACTTAAGCAGGGCCAGGCGCGGTGGCTCACACCTGTAATCCCAGCACTGTGGAAAGCTGAGGCGGGCAGATTACGAGGTCAGGAGTTCGAGACCAGCCTGGCCAACATAGTGAAACCCCGTCTCTACTAAAAATACAAAAAAAATTAGTCGGGCGTGGTGGCAGGCACCTGTAATCCCAGCTACTCGGGAGACTGAGGCAGGAGAATTGCTTGAACCCGGGAGGTGGAGGTTGCAGTGAGCTGAGATTATGCCACTGCACTCCAGCCTGGGTGATAGTGCAAGAATCTGTCTAAAAAAAAAAAAATTTAGCAAAGATTCTGCTTTATGTATTTGTACTTTATCAAATATATGGTAAATGCACCAATTTTGGTAGAAAGTTATATTCAAAAGTTTGTTGGCAACTGCTGATCAGGCAAAAGGAAATGTAATAGAATGTGCTTTAGTGTATTGTGTCAGGATAATTAAAAGTGCTCGTGGATAACACTTGATGCTATGAAAGGAGTTTTCTTTTATTACTTGAGTATTTTAGAATATATATGTGATATTTCATCTCTTGTCCAATTCCTCTTTCTCCTCCAACTCAACTTTCCTTTATTTTTCCTACTGAAGTTATAGTTTCAGTGTCTTATCTTTAATTTCAGTATTGGATGGTAACATTTCTCTCAAGTTATTGGCACCTCTTCCTAACCAAAGGGTAAAACAAACAAGATATCTGATAACGCCCACATTTAAATAGAGCAGGACTGGATTATTCAATATCCATTGCTTAGTGACAAAGCTATCAGAAACAGGTGGTAACTACAGCTACATGATTCTTATTCAAAGGAAAAACCTGCTGCTGCATTGGGGAGGGGAACAATTTGCTGATTAAGATTACTATTCTAAACCTCTCTTCTTTCGGAGGAGAAAAGCCAGAAAAATACAAAAAGATTTAGGGTGGCTGTTTTATGAAACCTTAGAGGTTTCTGCTAAGACACAATTAATTTGCTTTATGGACCTGAACAAATGTGACACTGACAAAGGCTCCTTATACTTTTTTTTTCTTTCCCCAAACAGGAAAATATTGAAATTTATTCCTACAAAAGTAATGAAGGAACCAAACGAATTAAATAGAGCGCAAGCAGCATGTAAGATTTAGTTTTGAAATTCTACCAATAGGCACCTTATGCCTTTATTTTGTAAAGGAGGATCAGTTGAGCCCAGGCTGGTCTCAAACTCCAGGGCTCAACTGATCCTCCTGCCTTGGCCTCCCGAGAAGCTGGGACTGCAGGCGTGCACCACCATGCCCAGCGTACACCTTATTCTTCTGTTGGTCTCTTTTTGCCTCTTGACATTCCTAACCTAACAGCGTGATTCTTATCTAAGACTTTGCATGTGAAGTGTAGCCTTTCCCTAACCCCTTACTTTCTCCCATTCATTTTGGGCTGAAATTTAGGTGACTGTCATTGGGTGGACAGTGTTCGTAGGGCCACCTGGCTTAGCTTTCTGTAGGATTGAATAACTTACAGCAATTTTTGTAAAATGTCAAAGCCAGGTCTGGCACATATGGAGTAGCAGCAGCACACGCTGGATCTCCTGGAGTTGAAAGTAGGGGCACAGTCACACCTGTGTTGGGGTGCAGTTGCATCAGAGCTTCGCAACACCCTCGGAATCACAGCCCTTCTGCAGGGCTGTCATTGGTGCGACTTAGATCACAGATTGTGATGCCAGATGAGGTCTTTGAAATCCAGCATTGCCCAAAGTGTGCTGTTCCTATCCTTGCTGGCAGATGAGATAATTTTAGATAAAAAACAAATGGGCATTTAGATTTATTTTTTTGTATTTAATTTATATTAGAAAAATACAATTAGCCCAAGGATCCAGTGAGTTCATGGCTATTACTGCTTAGGACAAGGGTAAAGTGAGTGTTAAAAATAAGCCAATTTAAGAGAAATAAAGGGATAACAAAGAATTCAGATGTCATGCTGACATTGCAAAGAAATTATGAGGGTAATACAATAGCCAGAAGTTTGGGCAATACTGACTTGGTATGAAATGGCTTAGATGGGTGATTCGTAGCAGAGCCTTTAATGCCTCATCCATTGCCCTGCCCATTTTAATACATGCATCTCCCAGGTAAGCTCTTTCTTCCAAGGGAGGATTCTGTGTCTTGAAGTATGAAAGCTGCTATTATAATAATGTGGAGCCATGAAAGGTGTTTGGTGAGTGGGCCAATGATTAGATCTGTGTTTTAGAAAGACTCCTCTTGAGGCAGCACAGAGGGTGGGTTGAAGCTGGAAAAGCCAAGAGGGCAGGAGCTAGTGAAGTGGGCTCTGTGACAACCAGCAGGAGTCGATGGGGACTGAATCTGGAGCGGCAGCAGCAGGAATAGAAAGAAGAGGCTCAGTTCAGGAGATACGTAGAAGAAGTTGGCAGTGGTGCAGATTTGCTCAGCAGCGTATGGAATTCGCCCTGTGCCCACAGCTCTGGGTCATCTCCCATCAAGTCCTTTATTCCACATTTCCAACCTGCTTTCATTCCACTGCTCCCTGCCTTCTCCATTGCCATTTCCTCTTGTGTGTACATAGACATGTACGTTTGTTCCAAAACGAGTCACAAACTCAGATGCCTTCCAGAACCAAGCATTCAGGCATTGATTCAGAGGGCCTAGTGGTGGGGATCTTTGAACTGGAGGGGGCTTTTTCTGCCTGAAGGCCATGGCTACTGCTTAGCTCAGGTGACTCTTCCCATGCAGGAATGCAAGCCCTATGTTGCCAGGTTTTTCCATTTTAACATTAAAAATTGGAAAGTCATATAATTAATCAAAATCTCCTCAACTTTAAGCATTGGCAACTTTAAATTCTAACAATTGCTATTTCATGTGAGCGGCTGTGAAGATTAAATGGGTTAATAAATGAAAGGCCATAGACCTAACACCTTATAAATGTCATCTGGCATTACCCAACACCATCATGGTCACCGTCCCCACCCTCATACCCACCTCCTCTTCTAAATCTGGGTTACCGAGCGCTTCTGAAGGAAAGTAGCACAGAGCTTTATCTGTATAAAGCATCCAGCTAACCCTATGCCACCAGAGCCACAAAGCACATAATGAGGCAGAAGCTGATCTCAAACATTTTTCAAGCCACAAAACCCTTTCTTCAACAAACGTTTACAGGGAAACCTGATATGTAAGACAGATTAGTTTGGATCTTCTGTGTTTGAAGTGGTTATGAAGAGCTGCCTGTCTCCCAGAGCAGTGCTTCTCACTGCATCAGAAGCCTTTAGAGGCCTTGTCCAAGCACAGGTGCCTGGGCCCAGCCCCAGAGGTTCTGAGTCAGTGGCCCTGGGATGGAGCCCAGAACTTGCATTTCTAGCAAGTTCCCAGGTGATGCTGCTATGCTGCTAAGGGCTGGGAGTCCACAGTGAAGAATGTTGTGCTGGTGGCTTAGCAGGTACAAAGGTCAGGAGGGAGACATGTCCCTTACCAGCCGTCGCTGGGCCTGTCACCTCTCCCGTGGAGGCCTGCCAGGGGCCATTGCTGGAATGTGTTTGGTCGTCTAGACCAAGTGTGGGCCTCTGACCTGCAGTATCAGCCTCAACTGGAGCTTGTCATAAATGCAGGTTCATAACCCATTCTAGGCTTACTGGATCAGAGCCTCTGGGGCCCAGGCTCTGGGTTTCTGAGAGGGCTCTAGTTGATTCTTGTACATGCTGAAGTTTGAGAACTGTTGGTGTACATGCACCCTAGTCAGGAGGTGGAGGCCAGCTTAAGAAACCACCTATGGATAGAACCATATTCACTACCTCAGCACTTGGCCTCCACCACCATCTGCCCCTCAGAACAGCACTTCTGCCAAATTAAAGACTTGATTCTACCAGAAGCTTCCTTGGACTTCACTGTGCCATTGGATAAACTAGTGTCATTGGATAAAGTGCTGCATCTGTTAACAACTTAATTTCAAAAAGTGAGTCAAAGCAAAGAAGGCCAGAAGATGGAAGGAAGAGCCAAATATTTAGAAAGGGTGATGAATTAAAGTTTAGAAATATTATTTATGCTTGATAGCAATGAATCCAGGGCAAAAGGAAACTATAGTGCTTAACAGTCTAATGTATGGCAGATACTTTCTTAGGCCCATTTGATTCTCATAGCAAAGTGGAGATTTACCACTTTATATCTTTATAAAGGTATCTTTATTTGCAGAATAGGAATCAACAGAGCCAGGAGTTGAGCCTATAACATTGAAACCTTTATTCTTCCTACTCGCTGGTAGTGATGGTTACAGAAGTCCCTTAGTATCTGTGGAGTACTGATTCCAGGACCCCTGCAGATACCCAGCTCCACGACTGCTCAGGTCCCTGATATGGCATAGTGATTGCATATAACCTATGCATATCCTCCTGTATACTTGAAATCGTCTCCAGGTTACTTATAATTAATATAACATAAATGCTATGTAAATAGTTGTTATACTGTATTTTTATAGGTTTTCATTGTTGTATTGTTACTTTTATTGGTTTTTTCCCCTCAAATATTTTGTATTTGCAGTTGGTTGAGTCCAAGGATGCACAGCCTGTAGGTAGGGTACAGAGGCCAGTTGTTTCCCTGAACTCTTAGAGTTCCTCAGTCCCTCCTTATACTGAGCACTTAGTATTTGTAAACACTGACATTTTCCTACTTTTATTTAAGTATGAAGTGTCTAATAAAGATGTATAGTGTGACGTACTGCAAATAGAAAATACTGCTACAACATACAAACATCTAAATATCAGGACTTTTGAAATTATTTCTACTTTATAAATTTTATTTTATTTTATTTATTATTTTTGAGACAGAATCTTGCTCCATTGCCTAGGCTGGAGTGCAGTGGTGCAATCTCAGCTCACTGCAACCTCCACCTCCCAGATTCAAGTGATTCTCCTGCTTCAGCCTCCCGAGTAGCTGGGACTACAGGTGCCCGCCATCACGCCTGGCTAATATTTGTATTTTTAGTAGAGGCAGGGTTTCACCATGTTGGCCAGGCTGGTCTCCAACTCCTGACCTCAAATGATCCACCCACCTCGGCCTCCCAAAGTGCTGGGATTACAGGTGTGAGCCACCGCACCCAGCCTGCTTTATAAATTTTAAACATGTTGAATTCTGGGTATAAAGCTAAAATTATTTTTTCAAGGATGTTAACCTGGCTACTAACTAAAAGACAGGAATAATTCGGTGAGCTCTAAACTGAATTTATTTATTGTATACTGAATCACAAACCAGACTAGATTTTTTAAAAAATAGATCAATAAGTTCAAGCCAGAAATAATACATGCTTTCTTAAGTTGTGAAATAAGAACAAAATGCAAACAAATAGTATCTGACTGAGAGTGATATTTCACCTGTGATGTAGAGCTCTGGACCCGCTTAACCTTAGCTTCTAAGTGTCTTTGATATTTTATTTGCCACATTCTTAGCACTAAATGAAATGTATGTGTTGGGGTGCAGATGGTATTTTGACTTTAATTATATGATTTTTGAGGGAGAAGACTCACACCTGAAAGTGTAGTCTTGCTATCTAGATCTTTTAAAGAAGGTGCTTTAAGAAAAAAGTGGTGTTAATTATTGATATGATCAAAACTCACTTCTTTAGAAAATAGAAATGGCAACAAGCAAACATGAGGAAGGGACTGAGTATTCAAACCCATGAGGCATTGTGATTATATTTAGTCAGTCAGTGAAATCTGGCCTAATCTGGGACAGTAATTATTATCATTTAAGAAAACATATTTAGAGTTTTAAGAGAAAATACTTAAGTTACTGAAATTATTTGCATAGAAAAGTGAACACTTGCTTCTGAGTTTCATGGAAGATTGCAAGTCCTCTGCCACATGGCAGAGAAGCAGACCCAAAGGAAATAAAGTAATGCATTTTAAGAAATGGCTGGTGTACTTGGTATGATAGTACATACCTCGTGTCGTATTATTCTGCAAAAATACTTAGGGAATATCCTCAGCTTTGTTTGATAGATTTCAGTGGCTGGCAGCAGCAGGACGTTTACCAGAGGTTGCAAAGGAGGTGGGTTGTGGGACACAGTTTTCATTCATCCTGAACGTACGCTTAGTTTGTCTCATGTTGTGTATTTTAAAATTCTGATTTTGTTGCCAACATTTTTAAATCAGAAAAATTTTACGTAACAAATAAGCAGTGTTTACATCTTTCTTTAGAAATTTGAAGATTTGGGAACATTGAGCTTCCATTTTGGTCGACAGCCACAGTGACCTGGGGCCAAAACTTTTTTTTCTCTTTTCCTTTTTCAGGACTCCTTTCTGTAATGGGCCTAGCTTGCTTTACTCGTTCGCTTCATTTTTCTGGTTCCTAAAGGCACTTAAGTTTAAAGCCCTTACTTTAAATCATGCCCAGGCTACCACAACGAGTCATATGCACTTTCGGATCATCCAGAATTCTGAAATCATAATGATTATTCATGATTTACTTATTGCTTTTATGTCATTGTAGTTTGGGAGATATTTTTTATGTAGAATAGGAAACATATTATCCTCATTATTTCATCATCCAGGAAAGATGTCTTTGAATAGTTGAAATGGGAAAATAAAAGAGCCAACAGTTACAATAAAATATGAAGTTGAAGCCGTCTGTGTTAACTAAACCAAATACAAGTAGGAGAAAAAAATTGTAAAATGATGGTTTAGTTTTTTTATTAAAAAAAAGAAATGGAGACAGGGTCCCACGATGTTGCCCAAGCTGGTCTCAAAATCCTGGGCTCAAGCGATCATTCTGCGTTGGCCCCGCAAAGCGCTGGAATTGCAAGCATGAGCCACTGAGCCTGGCCAAAAATGATAGTTTTTATGGGTAAGAAACAACATGGAATAGTGGAAAAGATAATAATTTAGGATACTTTTTTTTTTCTGGGAACAGTCATGAGACTAACTAGTTTTACATTTCAGTAACCAGTAGATATTGGTTTTATCTGTAAAAGTAAGACTGAAAAGCAAGACCTAACCCTTCTGGTTATAAAAAACTATGATTTTCTTAATTTCTGAAATACATGGTAATTCTGAAGGTAGAGACCTTTAGAAATCTTTGGGAATTTGTAGGTTTACTATTTAGAGACTTTTGCAGATATCAGAGTTAGTACAACAAATCATTTAATATTTCCCTACAAATCCAGATCCAGTTCAATGGTTCATTGCCAGTGGCTTAATCCGTCAGTCCAGGACCTCTGTGGCTGTAGAAACGCTGTTTGGCGAGGCACTGGTGCTTTTTTTCCTTTCTGAATCGGACCCCGGAATCCCTTATGCTGGTTACCTTCACCTGTTAGGTTTTTTGTCGGTGTCTGCTCGGGCTGCCATCACAAAATGCCACAGACTGGGTGGCTTAAGCAACAGCAGTTGATTTCTCCTAGTTCTGGAGAATGGGAGTCTAGGACCGAGGGGTCAGCAGGTTTGGTTTCCCCTGAGACCTCTTTCCTCGGCTTGCAGGTGGGCGCCTCACGCAAGGGTCTTTGTGGGCCCTTTCCTCTCCGCACACACGCCCGTGATGTCTCTCTTCCTCTTCCTCTATGGACACCAGTGCTGTCAGATCAGGGCCCCACTATTCTGACCTCATGTAACCCTGATGAGCTCTTTAAAGGCCCTGTGTCTACATACAGGCACACAGGGGGCTAGGGATTCAAGGTATGAAGTGTTGGGAGGACATGGGAGGACATGATTGAGTTCATAGCAGATGGCAGTGAAAAGGAAACCAGGGTTTCTTTGAAATGCAGGATGTGCCTGGGAAGCAGCCCAAGTCACACAGCAGCCACTCCAGCTCTCATTCGCCCAGGCTTGATCCAGGCAATACTTTGCAGCCTTTTTCTATGCCCTTTTCTCATAAGTAATAGAAATAGAGAAGTCAGAAGCTTGATCCTGCTTTTAGAAGATTGCCAACCCATTTATTATGCCACAGTATTTTAAGATTAATTTTTAAAATCCTTTTGGATGGGGAACTCACCACCCAATCTGGCAAACCTATCTGTATAAACTTGTGTTCTCCAGCTTGTTGGCATCCTTTGTTCCCCAGTAGTCCTTGTCTAAGTCATGCAATGTGGTCGCTGTGCCAGGGACACTCTTCTGTCCTCTGCTTACATCAACCCATTGATGAATCTTGACATCACTGAAAGTGAGACAGCAGATACTTGTGCCTCTTTAGGGATACAGTAAGAGGTATACTGCGTCACCTATAAACTGTTCTTGCCAAATACATTGAACCTGAAGTGCAGTCAAGACTTCAGATCTAGCTACATGCTTATAGGAAACACAGCAGATAGAGATTAAGTGATACAGGAGGAGGGAAACAACTTGATCCAGAATGTGATATTCTGCCAAAGCAATGACCTGGTTTCTTCAACAAATCAGTGGCATGAAAAAAAGAGAGCAGGGGGGAACCATGATTGTTCAAAAATGACTTATGTGACATCAACCAATTGCAATGTGGTCCTCTTTTAGATACCGATTCAAAGAAACTGACTTTAAAAATGTCGGGAGTTTTTTTTTGCAATTTTTTGAGGAAATTTGTATATAGACTGGGTACTAAGATTGTCATTAATTTGCTAGGTGTGATGATGGCGATGTGGTTATACATATTCTTAAAATACCTTTTCTATTAGAAATACGTATGGAATTACTTACTGGTGAAATAATCTGATGTCCGAGATTTGTGTTAAACGATGTCGGGGTAAGAGGAAAATGGTTGGTTTCTCATCCTTCAAGTATTGGCTTATGTTAACCCCTTGGGGGAGATATTTGAAGCAGGTGTTTTCCCCCTCCTATTTCAATCATTTCACTCTGTTGGTTTGTTTCACAGCACTTATAATCTGTCGGTAAGAGTATTTTGTTTATTTATTGTCTTTCTTACCTCAGTCTATAAACTCCAGAAGGACAGGAGCCATCCCTAGTTGCCCACTTTGTACTCCGAGCCTGGTATACTGCTGACCTGTGGCAGGTTCTCAGTAAATGCATCTCAAAAGAGTGTATGAGAAGAAATTTTATTTCATATGATGTTTGCATTTTGATGTTTCTGTATTTGGACTTTTACTGTAAATTGTTAATAAAATCTATTATAAATGTCTAGTTTCTTCGTATACCTTTTTCTGAGGGATGGGGTAGTAAGTGCTTCCTAAGCTTTTATTCTTGAGAACTCAAATATGACCCATTTTAAATAGTAGTTTCTTTAGTGGTTGGCACTTGTCATTAGTCTTGCAGGTAGAGTGAAAGGTGTATTGTTAAATCACTGACCCATTAGCCTTTTCCTTGTATATGATAAACACATCTGACCACATGTGCCTGCCACACCTCATGCCCCTGAAAGCCTCGGTGCTCCCAGCCTTTTTTTTTTTTTTTTTTTTTTTTTTGAGACAGAGTCTTGCTCTGTCGCCCAGGCTGGAGTGCAGTGGCGCAATCTTGGCTTACTGCAAGCTCCGCCTCCTGGGTTCACGCCATTCTTCTGCCTCAGCCTCCTGAGTAGCTGGGACTACAGGTGCCTGCCACCACGCCCAGCTACTTTTTTGTATTTTTAGTAGAGACGGGGTTTCACCATGTTAGCCAGGATGGTCTCGATCTCCTGAGCTTGTGATCTGCCTGCCTCGGCCTCCCCAAGTGCTGGGATTACGGGCAGGGCATGAGCCACTGCGCCTGGCCGCTCCCCAGCCTTTTATGAAGAACCTGCGCTCTTCCCTTTGCTCTTCCTGTGCTGCCGGAGGGGCGAAGTCTCACTTACAGTATAGGTGAGGGCTTTTTAGGCTCCTAAAGAATCATGGGCCGGGCGCAGTGGCTCACGCCTGTAATCCCAGCACTTTGGGAGGCCGAGACGGGTGGATCACGAGGTCAGGAGATCGAGACCATCCTGGCTAACACGGTGAAACCCCGTCTCTACTAAAAATACAAAAATTAGCCGGGCATGGTGGTGCGCGCCCGTAGTCCCAGCTACTTGGGAGGCTGAGGCAGGAGAATGGTGTGAACCCGGGAGGCGGATCTTGCAGTGAGTTGAGATCGCGCCACTGCACTCCAGCCTGGGCGACAGAGCGAAACTCCGTCTCAAAAAAAAAAAAAAAAAAAGAATCATGGCACCCTAGGTTTATAATACCATGTAGGCTGGGCGCAGTGGCTCACGCTTGTAATCCCGGCACCTTTGGGAGGTTGAGGTGGGCGGATCACTTGAGGTCAGGAGTTTGTGACCAGCCTCGCCAACATGGTGAAATCTCGTCTCTACTAAAAATACAAAAATTAGCTGGATTTGGTGGTGGGCACCTGTAATCCAGCTACTTGGGAGGCTGAGGCAGGATAATTGCTTGAATCTGGGAGGCAGAGAGTGCAGTGAGCTGAGGTTGCACCACTGCCCTCCAGCCTGGGTGACAGAGTAAGACTGTCTAAAAAAAAAGAAAAAAAAAAAACCATGTAGTTTTTAAAGCCCCAGTCTTGTTAGGAGTCTAAACAGTCTGTTGTATTTATTGTGTCAGAGGAGTGAATGGATTGTAAATGTTTTAGTGTAGCTCCACCTCTTAACCCAAAGTGTTTGGTTTGGATGCTACCCAGGAGTGACTTGTTCAGGTTCTTTAGAAGATAGAAACCTTGCTTTCAGTGAGCTAGACAGTTTCCTTTGTTAATGGATTATTACATTATGTCTTTGTCTGAATCTCCTTCAGGTAATTAATGTATGTATTTCTATTTTTGACCATGTTTTAAGTTGCATACATGCATAAAGCTGTCTTATACAAAAGTAGAATGAATCATGTAATTAGCCTTATGCACCATCACCCTGCTGTAACTCATCAGCGTCACATGTAGATTTTAGTTAGCTATGAAGTTGGATAAATATGTCTGTTAATTTTAAGAATGCAAGAACTGAATTCATTCTAAAAATATGTCAGTGTATCTGCTAATATACCTATATGTCTCCCAATTTTATTACACTTTGTTTATAATAACTAACATCATGTTTAACACATAATTTTCTTTTTAATGGAAATTTCAAGGCAGTTAAACTTGCAAAAGACATGTTTTTAATAATAGGTGAGCTTTTAAAAATAAAGTGTATATATATATATTTAATTTTGTAGATCAAATCCCGGCTTAACTGCTTTAGCACAACTTGATATTTAAGGGAATCTTTTTAAAAATCCTTTTTATTTTTATGTATAAATGTGGATGGTTATATATCTTGTTGCCTTAACTCAACCCAGGAGTGTAAGTAGGTTTCTTCTTTCAACAATGGTGCTTTTCAATTTACTTACTATCTGAGCCATATTGTTTATCTTAATACATAATAATTTTGAAGTAAGTTAATTGACAAAAAGAAATGTAATTGGGTTCGTACTCAATTATTTTCTTCAGAAATATAGACTGTCTGTTGTGTGCTCGAAAGAACATAGGCTTTGGATTCATAGGGATCTGGGTTCAGAGCCTCACCACTACTTACTAAGTTTATTCATTCAGCGAATATTCATTGAGAACATCTCTGTGCTCAATAAGTCCCAGTAAGTCCTTTGACATGGCAGATATTCCAGTGGATGAAACGAGGTTGCTTATGTAGTGCCACCCACATTTTAGCTGGGGAGACAGACAATATAAAAGTAAACATTTGATAAAATTTCAGGCGGTAATAAGTGCTGTGAGAAGAAGCAAGGAGGGAAAAGAGAGCGAGGATGGAGTGTCAGAGAGGAGTTGCAGTTGGTGGAGCCATCAGGATGGCATTGAAGCAAATCGAAGGGAAGAAGTCCACATGGATAGCTCAGGTGAAAACATTTCAGGCACGAGGAACAGCAAGTATAGATGCTGTCACACAGAAACCAGCTGTGCATGAGAGGGAGTGAGCTTTGTGGCAGGACTGAATCTAGAGAGAATGGTGGGAGGTAACTGTGGAACGGCCGATGGATTTGAGAGGGAGGCAGGGGCCAGTTCCTATGGGGCCTTATAGGCCATGATATGGAATGGACTTGGGATTTTTTTCTAATCTAAAAGGAGTTTTGGTCAAGGATGCAGCATGGTCTAATTTCTCTTTTAACAAGTGCGCTTGGCCTGCTCTCTGGAGAATAGGTCGGGTTCTGAGGCCGTCACCGGTTGGGGGAATGGGGGTTTGCCCCACCAAGGTGGCCGTGAAAGCCTAACAAGCAGTTGTGCTACTGGACTAGATACGGGGTGCGAGGAGAAGAGAGGAAATGAGGAAAGATGGGAATGAAGAAGGAAATACTTTTGAAGTTATATAAGATGAAAACTGAAAATGGACCATTGGATTTGGCAAGAGAGAGGCCACTGTGGACCTTGACAAGAGCAATTTGAGTGTATGGTTGGGGCAAAAGTCTGACTGGAGAAGACCGAGGAGAGGAGTGGAAGGTAGGAAGGAGCAACAGGTACAGGCACTTTCAGTGTTTAGACATGACAAAGAGCAAACACAGGAAGGTAGCTGGGCCGGGGCATTTGTTAGTTCTGTTTTGTTTTTAGGATTCGGATATTATGGCATATTTGTATGCTCATGGATGGTTAGTGTGGGGATAAGTGGAAGAACAGAGGCCTTGAGTACATTGGCTGACTTGGGAAGAGGTAGTTCTGGTTGTTTTTACTAATGAAATGCGTAAAACAAGAAACAGTTAAGGACTGGGAGTGGGGAAAGGAGAAGGGGCGTGATGAAGGTTTGAAGAGAGACGAGAATGTATGAAATGGTCTTCATGAAGAGTGGGAGAGAGAATGATCCAGGGAAGAGGTGGGATTGCCAGGCAGTGCTGTGGGCCCATTTGGAATGTATGTTTCTGTGTTTAAAGAGGGTCCAATGCAGTGCCACATGTAGACTTAGAGTAAGGGAAGAGTGGGATTTGACCAGGATTGGGACTGGGCCAGGTGACTGTGATGTTGAGGAAGAGGCACATGGGAGGGAGAGACTGTGAGCTAGTTCAAGTTCAGTCTGTGGCACAGCTAGGAACAAGAGCTGGGAGCATGACGGGAATGTGGGTCCTGGGGTGGAGTTGGGCCTGATTCTGTGCTTGTCCTCCTATTGCTGATATAGAAGCGGATGCACCAGGGGGCAGGCCTCCAGACATCAGTCAGGAAGGGGCAAGCTGGGACCTCCGACCCAGGCACTCAGCCTGAAGCTTAGCTAGGTTTTGGATGTATTATATTCCGTAGACCGTATCTCTGCCATATTTCTATCTGTTACCTGGGAACATTTGGGTAGAAGTGGAGAGAACAGTAAACCAGGTACTAAAGTCTTCAAAAAAGGAAGAGGCATAACCCTTTCATTCCAAGATGTTTACTGCAAGGAGGGATAGCAGGTGGAAGGAAGGAGGGAAAATAGTCTAGAAGCAAAATGAAGAGCAAGGAGGCACTCACCTCACCTCCGGACAGCTTGCTGCGTGGTATACAGAAGAAGAAATTGCTACCAGTTGAGGGGGCTGTGATGGAGGTAGACTCCTCAGAGGTTTAACAGGAAGGTGAAGGGAACAGTTAGAAAAGCCCCTGGACATAGAGGAGATTTTGCTAATGACAGATTGTGCATTTCAGAGGGTACAGAATCTGAAAAAAAATGGGAGATTGAGTGCGACTAGGGGCCAGAAAACCGTGTAGGAATTAGAATCCAGTTGGATGTCCTAGGAGGCCTAGCTTCTGGCTAAGGTAATGGGGGATGTAAAATGTGATTATCGGTCTTGATTATCTCCTAGGGGAAAGTGATACTCAGTTTTCTGCAGGCCCCATCTGGGGCTTGGTCTCTTAAGCAGTTTGTGATGGTGAAGTGGACAGTATTGAGCCCGGGGAGGGATGGTCCTACCAAGTCCTTGCTGAAATCTTGCAGGGTGTACTGTCCTGGTGTTACTTAGGGTCATTGTACACGTGAGCAAGGTCTGTGGTCCTCCCAAGCTTGATGTTTTCACCTGTAGAATTAGAATGAATACTAGCCTTGCAGGTATTTAAATGATAATATGCATACAGAGCACCAGTGGGAACGGGGTTATAGTACGGTGGTCCCTCATAACCATGGAGCATTGGTTCCAGGACCCCCCATAGAGAATCCTCAAATGCTCAAGTCCCTTATGTAAAATGGTATAGTATTTTCATATAACCTACATATAACCTCCCATATACTTTAAATCATCTCTAGATTATTTATAACAGCTAATACAGTATAAATGCTGTAGTCTTTATACTGTTTTTATTGCTATTATTTTTTATTTTTTTCAAATATTTTTGATCCACGGTAGGTTGAATCCACAGATGTGGAACCCACACATACGGAGGGCTGACTGTGTATGCTTAATGACATTTTTTCCCTTGTATGTACATAGAAAAATATTGTATACATTGTTAGTCCCCCTCATATTCTGTAATGAGTTTTTCATTTGTTGATGTTAGTGTCAAATAATTTAAAATTTAGGCTGGGTGTGGTGGCTCATGCTGGTAATCCCAGTGTTTTAGGAGGGTGAGGCAGGAGAATCACTTGAGCGCAGGAGTTCAAGACCAGCCTGGGCAACGTAGGGAGACCCATTCTACAGAAAATAAAAATAAAATAAAAATTAGCCGGGCATGTTGGCATGTGGCTGTATTCCCAGCTACTTGGGAGGCTGAAATGGGAGGATCTCTTGAGTGCAGGTGATCGAGGCTGCAAGTGAGATGTGATCACACCACTGCACTCCGGCCTGCGCGACAAAATTTATTTCTTGAGTAAATAAATAATTTTTTAATTTTAAAAATTAAAAAATTTAAACATACGTGTGTGTGTGTGTGTGTGTGTGTGTGTGTGTATGTGTGTGTGTGTGTGTAAATGCTTGGTTCATTTGTTGAGTTTTTTCCCCTACTAGATGAATGCTATGGGTGCGTTGTGTGATTTCAATCTCGTTCCTGAAGTTGAGCTTTTTATGCTTTGCATTTTGTTCTGCAATTTAAATGATAAAAACATTTCTGGCCATCTTATTCCAAATAAAGTCATGTTGATTTTTGTGTAGCCTATAATGAAATAGAAAATAATCTTCTGGTATCTATTCTGTATTATTCACAGAAACAGTTTCTAAAGAACAAATCTGAATTTGTACGATATAAATCCCTTATCTTTACTTGATATAAACTGCCATTTTAAAAGTCAGAATTGAGATGAAAATCACAGTTAATTGTTGTCATTCTTTAAAATAATATGGTTAAATCTGAAAAGCTTTTTGAATTGTGGGCAAAACATTCTTGAAATAAAGCTTATCTTACCAAATATTTGAAGGAAATTTGGTAGCATTGAAATAGAATTTTTGTCAATTTAGAAAGTTAATAATTTTTTTAACAGTGATTTATACTGTAGCTAAAAAGCTGTTGCTGGTTTCCCAAATCTTAAAGCTAACTGACCTTCCATTTGAACCTAGCTTTAATGTAAACATTTTCTTGAGGTGGTTAGGGGTTGGGCCAGCCAATCTGGAGGATATTAGTGGCGTTCTGTTTGAGGGAAGTTGGAATCCCTAGATAATTCTCAGGAGCTCTTTTCTAGGCCAGAAGCTGTCTCAGACATTATATATTTATTTTTTAAGGTTTTTTTTTTACTCTTTCTTTACTGCAATGCCATATTATATATTTCTTAATTCTTCCTTGGCTTTGTTAATAATGTCTACTATCTGAAATCTAATTAATAAAATACATAATTAGCTTTACTTTGAAGTAGAAGGAAAGAGCAGTTTTATTTGGTAGTTTTTCTATCCTTTCCACTTTAGTTGCTGAGAAATATAATGTAGTATGTAGGCTACTGAGAGTGAGGTTATTACCCTACTGCCTTTAAAAATTCTCACTTTTTAGTCATCTATTACTTAGCCAAAATATTGTTGTTCAAAGCTAAATTAAGTACTTTATCAACTTTCTTTGATACCTCCCCTCCCCCGTTTAAACTTTCTGAGCGGTGTTTTTCAAACTTCAGGTCATGACCCATTAATGGTTGTTAAATCAGTTTAGTGAGTTGAAACTAGCATTTTAAAAAATTAAATAATACATAGCTCCTAGTAAGACAAGGTATTATTTCAACTTTTGTTGCACTTACACAGATATATTTGTGTGAATCTATATTGAAAAATGTAAAATACCTTTTACTGTGGGTCACCACCAAAGTTTGAAAATGATTACTACAGAGAATATTTCAGGTAAGGTTGTATAGTCTTTTTTGCAAGCATTTGCATTTTTAAATCTTGAGATTTCAGCCAAATGGCTGATATTATTGTTAGTTGAATATTGTAGAAGAAAATTTGGAAGACTGAATTTTTAAGAAACTACTTATTTTAAAATGATTTTTCTTTTCTAATTCTGACATTGTCATATGATCAAAAGCTTAAATGCCAGAGCTAAGGATAAATCATATTTCTCTTATTTCAGGGAACATTTATTAAGAATATGCTAGTTAATAGATATATTGAAATATAAATGTATAATTTTCCATCTCCAAGAATCACAAATTTTTGTTAGACTTGAATTGGAATAGATTATGTTCGTATTTGTTTTATGTTACTTCCTTAACAGTGATGGCCTGTTTACTTAATAAATTCAACTCTCAGTATTCAAACTCGAAGGAATTTTTAAAAGAAATATTTGCCTCTTGAATCTTGTCAGATTTCTCAAGCCTTATTATAATCGAGTACTTCTGTCTACTTGAATTTGTTTTTGCTCATTGAATAAGCAAACTATCACTGCACTAATGTTAATTGTGAAAAGGTTTTAGACTAGGTTTTATTTGGGTCCTAATGTGGTAGATTTCTTTATTGCTGTTTCATAGAATCAGAGGACCAGTTTATGAGTTAGAAACTTGTGGGACTTTTCCATTGTGAATGTTGTACTGTCTTAATCTCATTCCTCAATTTCTCCAAGCCTCTCTTTTCTGTAAAACATAGATGATTATCAAGTGATATTCCAAATAGCAAACAGATACCTCAATATCTTTTTAAATCCCAAGACATTGCAAATTACAACGTGCTGATTAATAAAGTAAGTTGTTCTTATGTTAAGTAACACTATTTGAATAAAAGCATGACATGTTGAGATGACTGCCTGGTGACTGAGACTTGATTGTTGACTCTGTTGTACCCTGTCCTCATTTAAATAATAGGTTTGTAAACAGATGGCTGGCAATCCCTTGATCATAGTTTATTACTAAGTTATTGGTGTTTCATAACTAACTGCCAGTTTTACATACTGGAACGTATAAAAGGTATTCTGTTTTCAAGCGATGTTAGAATACAATGCTACTTCTTGAAATATTTAGAAATCACTTGGAGTTCATTTTATCTCAGCCTTATCACTTTAGAGATAACAAAAGCAGTTAAAATGCATAATTGGAGCAGTGTCTTGATCTGTCACAAATAATAGGCTTATTAGAAAACTTGTATCTTCCAGATTCTACACTTAAACCGCTTAATAACATTAGTTTCTCTTAATGTATTATAAATCATCTATATAGGACTTCTGGTCTGCCTACCAAACAGTTAATTATCTCATGCTATCATTATTAAAAGTTTTTTCTTTCTATATGAATAAACAAAAGTCATTAAATATAAGCAACTGTATTTACATTCTACTATGAGTATGACAGAACTCTCCAATAGCAAAACCATGCATGTTGGAGGCTAACATTCTATATCCTCGATTCCTGGTATGTGAACAGAAATAGAGCGGTGTCTCATTCAACTTAGTGTTTAAAAAAATATTTTTTAAAAAATAGAGTAGTGGTAAGAACAGGGTGTCAGATGTAATTTAAAATTGCTTTGTTTCACATCTGAAATAATATAAATGTGTTTTATATGTCTGTTTATTACCTTTTGTTATAGGTTTTGTGTGTGTTATGAAAATGGACTCGTGTCCTTTGGGGTGGGGTGGAACTTTAATATCTGTATTCTGTAATATTACATGAAAACTAATGCTAACTTTTATTCTTCCAGTATGTGCCATATCTTTATGTTTAAAATATCTCAGAAAGAGCTTAATCACTTTTTTCTGGCTTTATTTTAGTTTTGAAGTATTGCTGTATTTGCTGTATAGCAAAAAAACAAAACAAAACAAAACAAAAAAACCCCTCCCCCAACAGTTGCTTTGGTTTTCATCCTGTATTCAATAGAGTAGCGGATACCTGATGGCAAAACTTTTTTGAAAAGAGTACCTCCCTGCTTTTAAACACAAAAAAAAAGGACTCCCCCAATTTTTTGGATAACTATACAAATATTGCTATAGTTGATCATCCATTGTATTAGAATAAATGGGGAAAAATTGAATTTTTGCACATAATTGACTTTTTAATACAGAAAGCAAGGCAAGATATCTTAAGAAATTTGTATAAAGCTAACATTTGATATGAAGTTATAATGGAACTGTTGAATTTCGATTTGGAAATAAAGGAGTATTCCAAGGTATAAAGGATAATTTGTACTTGAATTTTTAAAAATTTGATAGAAACAAAATTTCAGACAGTTGAAGTCTGTAGTTGACAGTATTTAGGCCATCCTTTCATTAAGATAAAATTCTCTTTGCGCACACCAATGCCATTCAAAAGAATGCTTCCGAGGTCTTGACTGTTGACACGATTACGTTTGAATACATCATTCTTAGACAGTGTTTGTGACTGACTATTCTAAATGTGGTGCCAGGGTATTTGAGAAAGTGTGAGGGAGAAATGGAAAGCCAAAACTTCTTTTTTGGTAGAGTACACCGAGTTTGTTTTATTTTGTGCTAACCCAATGAGAAAGCATATTGGTACAAAACCATGAAAGAAAGCGGTGGTTCTCTGCTAGCATGTTTTGATTTTAGAAGGTCGTCTGAGTAGTATGGGCTTTTTGTTCTGTAATGTAGCTGTTTTGACTTAGTAAGTGTCTATGCTTGCCTTTTCATTTGGGAGTTTGAAATTCCCTGTGAGCTTTGCTTGTTAAGTCCGGGGATCTGCCTATCAAATAATAACAAACATCAAAGTCAAGTGTGTAGGTCATTTGCACATCTTTATGTGGGCATGTCTCCCATTTTCTCTTTAACCTTTCCTAACACGGAACTTATTTCTTTTGGTAGAACTTAAGAATGCGCTATCTTGGTAGTGATCCTGTGAGTGAACAAATATCCTTTAAAAATCTATTCTTTTTTATTTTTAAATATGTGTAGCATTACAGAAAAATTGAAAAAGAAAAACGCTCATAATCTCACCACCCCAACAGAACACTATCTGTGTTTTTTTTTTTCTTGTGGTGAGAGAGGGACATGAATTTTAAACTTAAAGAAAAACCCCTAGTTCTCTGGTTGTCACATTTGTTTCACTTTATCATATCACACAAACATGTTCATATCTCACTTAAAACGTAAGTTGTTTAGAAAGTATAGATGGCTAAGGGTTCTACTTTTGGGGTAATTATGTCAGTTTAGTTTCCTGATACCTTATCTTACTACTGTTTCATGCTGTTAAAAGTGAGAAATACTCTAGATTTGTAAGGTTCAAACTATATAAATAATTTTTTAATTCACTTTTTCAAATGTGTAGGGTACCAAATTTCAACCCTTAGGAGACCACAGAGGTATTAACTAATACTGGCAACTTAACGAGTTTTCTGTGAACCTTGGGATAAAAGTCTATTTTTAAACTTCAAAAATGTGTACTTGACTAGAATTGTAGTTCTTTGCTGATCTTTTAAATAACTATGTTCATTACACATTTACTCATCAAATGGAACCAGAAAGCTTACATTGGTGTGGACATGTGTGTGGACCCTCTGGCAGGTCAGGCGAGGCTCTGCCATAATGGCTCAGCCTTGACTTACCACCTTGGCTTTGCACTCACCTTGGCTTAGTTGTAGGCAACAAGTAAATGCATGTGAATATGTTTCGTCCTGATGACAATGGTAATATGGAGGTGTTAACCTCTTTTATAAACATGGAGTGCTTCTTGTCTGACTTTGATTATTTATAACAAACTTACATGGTGGTCTTTGAAAACTAAAATTTCTGGCCAAGCACAGTGGCTCATGCCTGTAATCCCAGCACTTCGGGAGGCCAGGGCAGGTGGATCACTTGAGGTCAGGAGCTCGAGACCAGCCTGGCCAACATGGTGAAACCCCGTTGCTACTAAAAATACAAAAAATTAGGCATGATGGTGTGCCTGTATTCCCAGCTACTTGGTAGACTGAGGCAGGAGAATCATTTGAACCTGGGAGGCAGAGGTTGCAGTGAGCCGAGATTGTGCCACTGCACTCCAGCCTGGGCAACAAAAGGAAACTCCATCTCAAAAAAAAAAAAAAGAAAAGAAAAGAAAAGAAAAAGGAAGGAAGGAAAAGTAAGATTTTTTTACAATTTCAATACCTTGATTAATTTAATTGAAGAATATGCTGGGATTGTAATAATCTCTTAAGACTGGTAAGGCCAGGTGCAGTGGCTCATGCCTGTAATCCTAGCACTTTAGGAGGCCAAGGCCAAGGTGGGAGGATTGCTTGAGCCCAGGAGTTCAAGAGCAGCTTGGGCAACTGCCTTTTATAATTATGTACAAAGTTTTGCTTTTAGAAAGGATTTTGTTGTTTATAAATATTGAAGATCTCTGATCTTTAAAAAAATTAACTTTTGATGTTACTGGTCTGACTGAGAAAGGGTAAATTAATTTGTAGGTGTTTTTTGAATGACCTAAATAATCGTATGATATTTTCCTCTTTTACTTTCTCCCTCAGTGGGTTATTGGTTCATATTTTAATATATCAAACTTTTTTTTTATTACGCCAAGGAAGAGGTGGATTGGCCACTACGATGTTGTACATTTTGTGAATGTTCAGTAATTCCTGCCATACTTGATTGAGTAAAAGTTAAACTTCATTAATTCATAATTTTGATGATTCATTTGGGCTAAAAATCCCTTTTCAAGTATCTGATTAGGAAAAAGTATTACCAGGTCCATATAGTATAAACAGAATTGCAAAGTGCTTGTATTTTACAGTTTAAAAGAACAAAATGTTCTTATAAGACTTTATGAGATTAGCTTTTTATATGTGAACAATTGTTGCTGCTTCTTCCATGAGTTATTGTCTGTTATGGAGGTTCAGCATTACATCTATAATAAGTTCTTTTAAAATCTGTATAATTACTCTGGTCAATTGAAAATTAAAACAAAATTTGTCTTTAAAATTTATCCACTAATATGGTTACTTCAGTAATTCTTTTTTTCTTCCTTTTTAGAATCTGAATTTGAGCCCATTATATCTAAAATGAAATTTTCAGTTCTCTTTCAAGTTTAAGATTAGTAAGCAATAGTTTTTAAACTTTGCTGCTATTTAATCATGGGTAAATTTACTTTATCGTAACAACTTTTTGTAGCATTTTAGTATTAACAATGTCAGAGAGAAGAGTATTTTACTGTTTGGTTCAACGTGTGTATATATATTATCACTAGTGGTATTCTAGGGGTTGAGAATCCAAAGATGAAAGTGGCCTACCATGGAAAATACTACACATGGGGTGGGGGATGAACACAGAAAACGATAAGATCATGACAGTGGGATAACTAGGTGACTTATCAAATGATAAAGAAACAAGCACTGGTCATGCCCAAGTATTGTTGGAGGGTCCTCATTCAGAGAACACTTTCTGAGTTAATGTTATATACTCATCTTTCATGTCCATGAGTTTAAAATTAATTTCAAATGGTTTTGAGTCATTAAATTTGCAAAGGGGAGGATAATGAGCACAAATTATTTTGTCCATGGTGGCCATGTAATTGCCATTCTCATTCTTCTCTCCATTCTCCACTCACATTGACCTTTTTCTACGTGTTTTTCTGAACATCTTCCAACATGTTGGTGGTTGGAAGTCACTCAAGTAGTCCTTTGCTAGTTGTTTAAATGTTTAAGAATTGTCACCTCTAAAGCCTAGGCTTGAAAATGTGGAAGAGAATTTCCCAGCTCTGCCTCTCTTTTGTTCCCTCCACTGTCTTCCCCAAATGTCCTTTCTTCCCTCCTCCACCAGTATCTCAGTTTCTCCATACTTGGTTGTAGATAACGTGGAATCAGAATATTTTATGAGTTGCCTAACAACTAATCTACAAAAATGATTGCTCTATATTTTAACGTCAGATAATGCCCAGAATCTTTTCAGACCCTACTTCATAAAAATCACTTATAACCCCTTCCTCCTTAAATTGTGATGTTTAATTGTGATGAAATAAATATGATAATATATGTAGTTGATAATACAATAGGTACCACCCGACCAGATTTATAAAAGAAAGTATAAAAATTATGTTAATAAAATAAGAGTTATAATCATGTTTTGCTTATGAAGAGGCACTGTTTCCTTTTCTTCTCAGCAACAAGGAAGTTGCAGAAATAACGGGCTATGTTTAAAAGTGTCATCACCCTTGGAATTACAGGGTCAAGATTTTCTTCTCAAAATCTGGACATTGTTTTTTTGCTCCCCCACTTTTTTTTTTGGAGTTCTGGATGTTTGATGAAGAATTATTTGTTTTACGGCCTCTAACATTTTATTTTGAAAGGGACTAGTCTTTAAAACTTGGCTGTAAAACAAAGGATTAAGAGCTCTTCCATTTGTGCCTATTTTAGATCTATAAGGTGGGAGTAACAACACTGATTTAGAGACCTTTGACCTTCCGCAATGAAAGGACAAGGAAGTAAATACTACTCTTACTGTTTTGTATATTCCACTAAAATATAAGTTTCGGTGGTCAGGCATTTTTGCCTGTTTAACTCACTGCCGTGTCCCAGTACCTGATACCTAGTGCCACATAGGAAGTACTTAAGTATTTTTTGAGTGAGCTAATTGATATTGTTACACTATAGCGGAATTACCTTAATCCTGCACCTTTAGGTAACTGAGTGGGCCACATAAATGTGTTTTTCATGTAGTTTTACCTTTTGTGTCAAAAAATGCCATTTTAATGCATTTATGGAAATCTTCAAATTGTGTCATAGTTTTTATGAATTTCCTAACTAGAGTATTTCAAACATATTTTGCCTGTTGACTCAAGGGTGTCATTATCAATAATAATTACTGTAATTCCTAGGTGGGCCAGTGAAGCTTGTAGGATTGCCCTTGTGTTAATAACCATGAACTGTTGTGTTGGCGATTTAGAACAGATAAGGATGAATGTTGTAATGGTTTTTCTATTCCTTCTGGGGTTGTCTGTCATTCTACTCACGATGATCTAGGTAATGGCCTAAGACTGGGGCCCTTTCTCTTATCAAGTAATGCAGTGGACTTGTAGCTGTCATTTAGCAGCTTTTGTTTTCAGGTTCAGAGAGCTATATTCTGAAATACCGAGACTTCTTGAAGACTGACCTCTGGAGAAGTAGGCATATTATAAAGTAGGTTACACTGTGTAGTTGAAAGCATTGTGCTTATGTCAAAATTTTCATCTCCACAGAAGAATTTTTTTTAAGTGTTCTGCATTTGCCCCTACTGTTAGAACTGGAGTCTTGAAGAGAATATTTATTCTTTTGTTGCAAAGCAAAATTAGCAGAAACTTGAATTTAATGTAATAACAGTATTTTAGGTTTGGTTTTTAAGGGAGGTTTTTGCCTTCCAGACTGTTCTCTATCCACTTAGAAGGATTTAATTTCTAAATATTAGAAAATGTTTTATACAAAGACAGGTCTTCAACTATACTGTACTATAGTTATACTATAACTAGAATTATGAAAATCTCTTCATTTGTGTTAATTGAGAGAAGTAGTTTATTTTTTTTGTTGTTTTTTTTTTGGTAATAGTCTTCTAAAATCTATTAATAGACTACCATTATCAATTCAGTTCTTTACAGTTAAGGAATGATTGTGTGAAGTAAGATACATACAAGGAAGTAGTACCTCTGGATGGTAGGATTATGGATGTTTTTGTTTTTGTTTGTTTTTTGAGATAGGGTCTGGCTTTGTCAACTAGGCTGGAGTGCTCCTGATCTTGGCTCACTGCAGCCTCCATCTCCTGGCTTCAAGTGATCTTCCTGTCTCAGCCTCCAGGTTAGCTGAGACTACAGGCGTGTGCCACCACACCCGGCTAATTTTTGTGATTTTATAGACAAACTCCTGGACTCAAGTGACCTACTCACCTCAACATCCCAAAGTGCTGGGATTGCACGTGTGAGCCACCGTGCCTGGCCCTATATATTTTTTAATGTTCACATTGCTTATCTGTATAAAATATAATAAGGTTACATTATTTAATCAACATTACCAATAAATAAGAATATGGAGTACTCTTTCTGCTCATTTTAGATCTAGGCTTTAATTTTACAGTGGTTCTAAAGTGGTAAGATGGAAAAAAAAAATGTCCAGGCATGACAAGAAAAGAGAACAGTAAGAGTAGGTCCAAGTAAGAAATTACATGTCTGTATAAGTATTCAAGATACAGGCTAGGGCCAGGCGTGGTGGCTCACACCTATAATTCCAGCACTTTGGGAGGCCAAGGTGGAAGGATTGTTTGAGCCCAGGACTTCAAGACCAGCCTGGGCACGATAGGGAGGCCCTGACCCTACCAAAAACAAAATAGCAAAGTGGGGTGGCACACACCTGTGGTCTCAGCTACTTAGGAGCCTGAGGCGGGAGGATCACTTGAGCCCAGGGAAGTCAAGACTGCAGTGAACCGTGATTGTGGTACTGCGCTCCAACCTGGCAACAGAGTAGCACCCTCTCAAAACAAACAAACAAAAAGATACAGCCTAAGAGAAATCCTAAAAGGCCAGCAGTTACATAAGCAAGATACATATGTAGGTAAGAGGTGGGTGGGTAGAAAGGGAGGAAAAAGAGAAATACTTACTTGAATTATATATAACAAATTCTTAATCATCCATGAATAGGTTATTAGTGAGTAATGCTAAATGTCAGACCATTTAGTATATAGACTCGTACAGCCCTATTTCTAGAGTAGGGAGTACAAATTGATTTTTCTGCTCCTCTAACACAATCTTCTGGAACAAAAGGTAAATGTATATGTTCAGTGCCTTTCTAAAGCTATAAGGAGTGCATTAAACTACAGTACAATTGCTTCTTTTTGTTTAGTTAATGGGAACTTAATTCTATATAGTAGCTGGCAGTCAAATTTATTTTATGTTGGACACTAAGGGAAAAGTACCTGAGTACAGTCATCAATATTTTTAAGCGCCATTTGATCAGAGTAGGTCATGTATTCCCTAAGAAATAGAATCCAGGTGAGAAAATAATTTTGATTAATTTATAGTCAGCAGTTCTATAGATATACTCGATACTGGTATCCATTTTTTTTTCTGTTATCACTACAAAAGTAGCAGAGGATATTGCTATCTATAATATATATTTTTTATACTTTTGTATATAAAAATATAAGGGCTTATATTTTTGTAGCACCTATAAGATGTTACTATCTCTAGAAGGAAAAGGATCTTTATAAGTCCCACAAGTTTGTCTTTCCAGAATTGTTTCTACCAAATCTGTGCTGCACACTATAAATAGAACAAGAAGAACTTAATTTGACTCTACAGTACCAGTGAAGTCTGTTGCCATCTGATGCCAGTAAAAGCATCTAATACTATAATAATAGTAACATTGCCTGGTGTTTTTAATTTTTGCTTTATTTAGATATTATACTTGATTAATCCACCTGCATGGTAGTCAAAATGCATCGAGTGTTTAATATGTATCACATTATCTCATTTAATTCACCCCTCATAATAACTCAGAGTCAGTTTTGTTATTATCTTCATTTTACTGATGATGAATGAAGTCACCGTGAAGTCAGGTAACTTCTGTGTGTGCTACTGCTGATCAATGGCAAACTTGGTCCTTGAACCCCAAGAAACTCTGTTCCTAACCACTATGCCATATTTATTTTCCTGCTGACCCTGAAATTCATTATGACAGAGTCCCCTTACTATTTTCCCCTGCGATAGATTTTCCATGGATACTTGAAATTCTTGTTAATTGTGACATTGCATCTCGGGGAATTTCAGCCCATCATTTAAGTCTGGTAGACCACAGGGACAGATTCTCAATATTCTACACTTCTGACATAATGAAACTGTAAAATAAACAGACCACAGATTTTCATGAAGGTTCTAAAAGCAAGAAAATGGTAATTATACCTTGAAGAGTCTTAAATGGATTTCTTAGATAAAAAGCCCATGTTATGTTTTCAAATCTCATTGTATGTTCTGCAATTTTATTACGTAAATTAGTTCTGGGTAGTCAATCAGGCAACAAGTATTAATACTGAGTGCTTATTTCATTTAATCCACAAACATTTCTGGGCAGTTAACTATATGTAAAGGACTAGATATACAAATGACTGACAGTTCCTACCTGCTCAAAGTATTGTTTTGTTGTCTTTGGCCTCATGGATAAGACAAAAACAGAAATGAATTCATTACAATGTAATGTGGCAGATGAAATAATAGAAATGTACTGGGTCTTGAGGAGTACAAAGTGCTAGAGATACGCAACCAGAATATATTTTCCTATAATTACTTTTATTCAAGCAAATTATTATACCACCCTATATAGAGATACAGAAATGCAGAGATCCCCTATGGATTTATGTTTTAGTTACTTCTTGGAAAAACTGAGTCTTAGAAATTTAACTCGGAGCATATTCAATACTGGGAGTATAGTCACTGTTTTAAAAAGTAAAAGGAGGTGAACATGCTACCTCTATCAGTCAGTGTGACAATTGATCCTATTTAAAATATTATAAGGAATGACCTGTGCACTAAAGGGTAGTGTCAGTTTTCACCTGGGCAGATAATTCTCTTTTCCCCGCTTCTTGGAAAACACAAAAATCTCATGGAATACTGTGTGTACAGTCCACCACAGAGAGGGAATGGCATCTCAACTAGCTAGTGTTCCAGCAGATAGCACACATGCCGGAAGTACTGATTCAGTGTTTTTTACAGCAAATATCCAAAGGTCAAGAGACAGACTGAGAGAAAGAGAAGCAGGGTGTGAGAGAGGGAGGAGAGAGATTGATTATGAGTCTGGGGTCATGTTTTAAATGAGTAACCAGAATCACCAGTCAAAACAAAGCATTCCTGTATTCTCTAACTTGAAGTACTCCCAATGTAAAGATCAGTTGTGTTAACCCCATTCTTAGTCCAAAATACAAGTGTGTAGCTGACGTTGATTTATGTTCCACTTAATTTTTTTTTTTTTTTTTTTTTTTTTGGAGAGAGGGTCTTGCTCTGTCATCCAGGCTAGAGTGCAGTGGCACAGTCGTGGCTGACTACAGCCTCGACCTCTCAGGCTGAAGCAGTCCTCCCACCTCAGCCCCTAGAGTAGCTGGTAATACAGATATGCACTACCACACCGAGCTAATTCTTAAATTTTTTTGTGTGGACGGGGATCTCAATATATTGCCCAGCCTGGTCTTGAACTCCTGGGCTCGAGTGATCCTCCCGCCTTGGCCTCCCAAAGTGCTAGGGTTACAGGCGTGAACCTCTGTGCCCAGCCTGTGTTCCACTTAATATTAAATGAGCAAGACTAGAAGGAAACCCAATTCTGCCTAAATCCTTATAGTTGGATATAATAGCCTACTGCCTTAAAAGAAGGGGGGATAAGATAAAGCAAACAAAAAAAAAAATACCTGGCTACTTTGAAATAAGTAGGTATTATATTCTCTTCAAGATTACCTTTATATTTCATGTTATTGAAACAGTTAACATGTACATAGAAATTCACTGTAGGAATGCAAACGCTATGGCATTTTGCTTTTTAAAATGTCAGCTCACTGAACATACAAGTGTTTACATGAATTAAATTCCAGATCAGAGGCACATAGTGGAAAGAGTTAGATCACATCTTGCTCACTCTGCATCTCCCCAGAGCAGTAGCTTCATGCATGGCACCCACCTGAGGAAGGGAAATATCCAGTGTGGAGCCAAAGGCTGCACGACGAGCTCTGATGCAACCATTGGTGACACTTCACTTGGGCTATTGGACAGCAGATGTGTGACTGAAGGTGACTGTTTCAGTTGTGATAACATCTTCAAGGGAGTTTCTGTGCTGGGTTTCCTGTCTCTCCTTCTCATCCTGTCTTTCCCTCCTCCCCAAATCCAAGTAGAAAGAAAAGTAGGACAGTATTCACAGTGGTGAAGTGATAGTGAAAATGTCCTCAACGTTTGCACATGCACATATACACATCAGTGCTGTCTTTCATAGGTCTCTAGTGATGATTCTTTCTGCTGTAATCCTCAATTCTCAAAGGGGCAGGGAACAAAAGAAAAAAGCCCATACAGAAAAAGAATGTACAATATATAGACTATGAAATTATGGAAATCATCTTAAGCCTGTTCTTTGGCTATTATAATATTGGAGAAGAAAACATGTTTTATGGATTCAAAGATGCACGTTTTCCCCCCGATTTTAGCATTTCTGAAATCCAGATGCATCTCACAGTCACTGCCTGGCAGCTGTCATGACATGGTCGTCACCGCCTGCACACATGCACCGAAACCTGCAGAATGAGTGTCAATGGCTTGTAGGAAAATCCCAGAGATGCTCATTGAGCACAAAATGCCACCTTTCTAACACTCTCGATAGCGTAGAGATTGATACTGTGAGGCAAGGCATGAATTCTGACAACTCAAGGTTGAAAAATCATTCGGAAGAATTAGAAACTGAAAGGAAAGAACTTTTAGGACTACCTTAACCAACTTACTTCACTTTTTTTTAAATGTATGGATGAGCGATCTATTAAGAAAATCTAAGTAAGTGTTCAGTTAGTCTAAAATAAAATCCCTAAGTGATAAAAATGCATTGTCAGAATTTAATTGGCAGGAGTTTTTTCGTTAATGGCACGTAAAATAAGTGTGTCTTATAATTGATGACATCTTAGATTCAATGAAATGTGGTAGGCATTCCGTCCTTATATAAAAATCTTAATGTCCTTCCATTCTTTTATCTTACTGTTATTTATTTATTTATTTATTTATTTGAGACAGAGTCTTGTTCTGTCACCCAGGCTGGAGTGCAGTGGCACGATCTCAGCTCATTGCAACCTTTGCTTTCCAAGTTCAAGCGATTCTCCTGCCTCAGCCTCCCAAGTAGCTGGGATTACAAGCACCCGCCACCACGCCTGGCTAATTTTTGTATTTTTAGTAGGGACGGAGTTTCACCGTGTTGGCCAGACTGGTCTTGAACTCCTGACCTCAAGTGATCCACCTGTCTTGGCCTCCCAAAGTGCTGGGATTACAGGTGTGAGCCACTGCACCCCACCTCCCTTCCTTTAATATTTAAAAGTACTATGATATAGAGCAGTAATAATTGCAGTTGTAAACATCAAATGCGATCAGTTTACTAACTAATCTATTCATTTCAAAAATATTCATTGAGCCCCTCCCATGCGGCAGGCATGTTCTAGGTGCTGAAAATACATCAGTGAATAAAACCAAAGTCTGTACCGTCATGAAGCTTTGTCTGGGGGAAAAAACACATAAAACAATAAATATTAATAAATACTAAGAAGAGGCTGGGCACAGTGGCTCATGCCTGTAATGCCAGCACTTCTGGAGGCCAAGGACGGTGGATCACTTGAGGTCAGGAGTTCAAGACCAGCCTGGCCAACATGGTGAAACCGCATTTCTATTAAAAATACAAAAATCAGCTGTGCGTGCTGGTGCGCGCCTGTAATCCCAGCTACTCAGGAGGGTGAGACATGAGAATCGCTTGAACCTGGGAGGCAGAGGTTGCAGTGAGCCAAGATCGTGCCACTGCACTCCAGCCTGGGCAACAGCAAAACTCTGTTTCTAAATAAATAAATAAATAAATAAATAGAAGAAAAATAAAGCGGCCAGGCGCGGTGGCTTATGCCTGTAATCTCAGCACTTTGGGAGGCCGAGGCGGGCAGATCACGAGGTCAGGAGATCGAGACCATGGTGAAACCCCGTCTTGACTAAAAATACAAAAAATAGCCTGGCGTGGTGGCGGGCGCCTGTAGTCCCAGCTACTCAGGAGGCTGAGGCAGGAGAATGGCGTGAACCCGGGAGGCGGAGCTTGCAGTGAGCCGAGATCGCGCCACTGCACTCCAGCCTGAGTGACAGAGAGAGACAACGTCTCAAATAAATAAATAAATAAAGCAAGCAAGCTAAAGCTAAGTAGAGGGCCAGAGAATACTGGGGGGTTCATATTTTAGATATTCAGGGAAGGGGGCTCTGATAAGTGAGAATTAAATAGGGACTTACGGGAATCAGGGAGAGGCCCTACAGGTCCACTGGGGAAGCACATTCCAAAGAGAGGAAGCGCAGATTCCAGGCCTTGAGGCTGAAGACTTCTCATTGATTCAGGAGAAAAGTGCAACTGGACCTGAACGAGGGAGAGGGAGATAAAAATGGCCTAGTACAGAGGGTGTTTATAGACCATGACGAGGGCTTCAGGTAGGATTGGGAGATGGGAAGCTCGGGGAAGCCCTGCGTGGAGGAGTAGAGCACTCTCGAGTCTCATTTGGGCTGCCGATTGTAGGGGCTCACGGAGGGAAGCAGCAAGTCCTGATGGAGGCTGTGGGGATAATCTAAGAGACACGGCGGTGTCCTGGACTAGTGTGATTGTATCGTAAAACAGAGAGAAGACGTGACTCTAACCACAGTATTCAAATAACACGTGAACCCAGGGGACAACAAGGAAGACGGGCCCTGAAGACAGAGCATTAGCTGTGTGCGCGTTGCTTTCAAGACTCTGGGAATGAAACAAGCACAGTAACAATATTTTCCTGAAGTAAAACAATCCTTGCTTAATTGAAATTTTTCATTTCTCTTTTTCTTTTTTGTAATTTACTAGGCATTGTGGGGTCTGTCAAAAGCTATAAAATGTCATCCCTGGGAGCTTCTAGTTGGGGAGATAAGACGGGGATTTCTCTTACAGTTTAAAGCATTATACGATTAAGGATCAAATGTCAGCAAATTCTTTTAGAGTTAAGAAAAAGCAGAGATTTCTATGGATTGGCATATCAGAAGAGGGTAGGACCTGAGCTGCATCTTTTTTTTTTTTTCTTAATAGACTTTATTATTTAGAGCAGTTTTGAGTTCCCAGTAAAATTGAACAGAAAGTACTGAGGGTTCCCATTCACCCACTGCCTGCTCCCTCCACAGCCTCCCCCACTATCAACATCCCCCACCAGAGTGGCACATTTATTATAACTGATGAAACTACACTGGCACATCATAGTCAGCAGAGACCACAGTTTACATTAGGGGTTGCTCTTGGTGTTGTACATTCCATGGGTTTGGACAAACGTATAAAGACATGTATCTACCATTGCAGTATCATACAGACTAGTTGTACTGCTATCAACATCCTCTTTGCTGCTTCTCTTCATCCCTCCCTCCCTGTACCCGCTGGCATCCATTGATTTTTTTTTTTGGAAACTGTATTCATAATTTTACCTTTCCCAGAATGCCATAATTGGAATCACACAGTATGTGGCCTTCTCAGTTTGACTTCTTTCACTTACCAATATGCATTTCAGATTCCTCTGTATCTTTTTATGGCTTTATACTTCATTTCTTTTTAGTGCTGAATAATATTCCGTTGTCTGAATGTAGCACAGTTTATTCATTCACCAAATGAGCGACCTCTTCATTGTTTCCAAGTTTTGGCAGTTGAATAAAGCTGCTTTAAATATCTGTTTGCAGGTTTTTGTGGGGACATAAGTTTTCAGTTCATTTGGGTAAATGCCAGGGAGTGTGATTGCTGGATCCTATGGTAAGAGTATGTTTAGTTTTGTAAGAAACTGCCAAACTGTCTTCCTAATTGGCTGTATCATTTTGCATTTCCACTGGCAATGAATGAGAGTTCCTGTCACTCTGCATTCTTTCCAGGATTTGGTGTTGGCAGTGTTTCGGCTTTTGGTCATTCTAATAGGTGTGTAGTGGGATATTGTTGTTTTAATTTCCATTCTCCTAATAACATATAATGTGGAACATCTTTTCATCTTTTCCTGTGCCTATTTGCCATCTGTATATGTCTTTGGTAAAGTGTCTGTTCAGGTCTTTTGCCCATTTTTAAATTGAATGGTTCATTTTTTTGTTGTTGAGTTTTAAAATTTGTTTGTATATTTAGGTGACAGTCCTTTATCAGATACGCCTTGTAAATATATTTTTCTCATAGTCTGTGGCTTGTCTTTTCCTCACAGTTGTGCTCCATCCTGAAGGATGAGTAACAGGTGAGAGGGAATCACACACACAGGTCACAGGGAATAGTAATAGTCACAGCACCTAACATTTCAAGAGCACTTACTATGAGTCAGGCCCTGTGCTCAGCACTCTTACATGCTTTAACTTGTTTATTCTTAGCTAGAAAAGGGGTACTTTTTTTATGCTCTTTTGTAGAAGTGTCGGCAAAGGAACAGTGAGGTTAAATAAGGTACGCAAGGTTGCATAATTTGGAAGGAACAGAACCCGCTTTTAAGACCAGTCAGTGGAACATCCTGCTTGGAAATGGGGTTTATATTGAGGGCCGCTTAGAGGGGATTTTGCAATAGATGGTGGCCAGCTTGTTTAGTGCTTTAAATCCCAGAATAAGATACCTGTATTTAGATGTGAAGTATGAATGTCTTTATTAATAAAACATTTTTTCAACAAAATAAAACTTAGAGTCCTATGATTTAAAACAATAAACATATATTTTTAGATAGGTTAAATCATCTGTGGCATCCCTGCCTAAAGATTCATGGAGTTTAAAAATCCCTAACTTGAAGCAGTGGAGAGCCTTGGGAGTTTGGTGTGGCTAGGGATGGGGAGGTGTGTGGGGATAAGAAGACAGCATTGGCAGGACATGGGCCCCACTGCGCAGGAGGACAGGGTGGAGGTGGACTCTTGATGGTTATCAGGCTGTTATATTTTAGTTCAGGGGCAATGTGATGGGCGGGCCTCGCCTAAGGTAGCCAATGGGAATAATAAAGAAAATGGTGATTACAGGAGATTTTTTGAAGGGAAATGAATAATACTTGTTTAGTGACTAGATATGGATGGTGAGTGGGAAGGCTTGAAAACTCATGTCTCTAGTTGACTGAGAGAATTTGAACGGCCAGTCAGACAAAAAAAAGAAAACGTGAGCCTCCTTTAACAGAGAAATAATGAGGCCAATTTATGACCTGTTGAATTTGAAATGATAGTGAAATAGTCAAGCCAAGATGCCTAGTAGGAAATGAAAGCAAATGAAACTGAGATAAGAGAGGAGGAATCTTGAAGATAAAGATTTAGGAGTCAGCAACATTAAAGTGACAGCTAAGCTCATGAGAAGAGATGAAACTGCCGAATGTTAAGTGTTGAAAGAGACTGCAAGTTGATCAATAACTGAACCTCAGGAACAGTGGAGTTAAATCCTGAGGGAGCGGAGATTTCTGTTTGTCATTGTGGATTGACCCATGAGTTCATTTGTGCTTCTTCCTAAACCCCACTACAATGATAGGAAGATACTAAAAAATGTATAAAGCCGTAAGGATAATAGAGCAAGGGAAGAGATGGAAAGTGGGAACTGACTTAGCAGAGTAGAGGAAGCTAAAACATACCAGCCTGCAGAGAAGATTATGGGAAACAAGATGATTGCTCTCCAAGAGTTCAGAAACAGGGGTCATCAGGAACTCCAGAAGGCAGGGATGTAAAAGATATAAAAGTCTGTTTGTGCATGTTTGTTTATTAGCAAAAACATTTGAATTTTTAGTAAACTCAACATTTTAGTTTATTGGCTAAACATTGAGTGCCAAGTATTGAGTTGGGCTCAGTACTGAAATGCAGTCTAGGTGTCAGTCTCCACACTGAACAGGTGAGACTTTCCTCCCTTTTCTCCATCAGACTCCTACTGTGTAGGAAATTGGAGGATTCTCTGAAAAAACTGAGCTTTCCCAGGGAAAATACATACTGACAATAACATTTTAGAGCTAGATTATCTTACAATGTAGCCCGCCAGTTAGCAAAGTCCCAAACATTTTACATGTAGAGTGTCCAGCGACTCACGCTTAAACACCCAGTAACTACCAGAAATGAAAGGTATCCCACATGAAAAGCAGAAGCTGAAACCTCAGAAATAGAGACAATGTAGGAAATAGAAGAAAACTACACACACACACACACACACACACACACACACACACACACACACCTCTACCTACACCCCTTCCAAGAGACAAGAGCAGAAAATGTCAGAGGAACCAGCTGTCAAAGAGCCAGAGCAAGTTAGAAATTAAAAATATAATAACCAAAAGAAAATGTTCTATAGAGGGGTTTTTAAGATAAAGTCAAGGAAACCTGAACAGTTAGATAAAGAGAGGAACGATAGGAGAGAAAAAAGTGTGAGAAAACTACAGAGTTAATTCATGAGGTCCTATAGCCAACTAAAAGGAGTCCTAAGAAGAGAGAACAATGAAACTAAAGGAAATGAAATTATCAAAGAAATAACACAAGAAAATTTTTCAGAAGAAAAACGTATAAATCTATATTACAAGAGTCTAAAAGGTACCCATAACAATGACTGAATAAAAATGCATACCAAGGCACATTATTGCGAATTAGAGGAAACCAGAGATTAGGAGGAAATTATATGTGCTTGCCAGTCACATACAAAGGACTGCAATTCATAATGGAGTCAGAATGAAGGAGCAGTGGTGTGAAGGTTAGAAGATGGTAGTACATACCATCAGAATTTTGAGTGAAATAATTTCAACCTTAAATTCTATTTTCAACCACGCTGTTAGGTCAGAGGGTAGAATAGGGACATTTTAGACATGTGGAGTCTGAAAACATTTACTTCCCATACATCTCTTATCAGGAAACTACCAGATGATTCAGTCTCAATTTAATTAAATCTAATAGATATTTAAGCACCCAGTATATTTTTAGCATGATGCCATGCATATAATAACTATCTGATGAATATTTATAGATTTAGATTAAAAGGTTCAGAAGACAAAAATGATTTAAGACACAGTCCATGCCTTTGATAAGCTTATAGTTTCCTAATCCTGGATAACTCCGATAAACAACTGTATAAAAAACAGTGTGCAGTTCTCATAAAGTTAGAAACAGCCGTGGAGATTTGAGGAATGGATAGTGCAAATCAGATTGGGAGCAGTTTTATGAAGGGAATTATTATTTGAGACAGTTCTTGTAAAGTAGATAAGAAAAAAAGCATTCCAGTTAAGAAATAACATAGTGGCCAGGCATGGTGGCTTATGCCAGTAATCCTAGCACTTTGGGAGGCTGAGATGGGAGGATCATTTGAGCCCAGGAGTTTGAGACCAGCCTGAGCAACAGAGCAAGACCCTGTCTCTGCAAAAAATTAAAAACAGAAAAATTAGCTGGGTATGATGGTGCATGGCTGTTCCAGCTACTTGGGAGACTGAGGTAAGAGGATCACTTGGACCCAGGAGTTTGAGGCTGCAGTGAGCTATGATCACACCACTGCACTCCAGCCTGGAAGACAGAGCAAGACCCTGTCTCAAAAAAGAAAAAAAAAAAGAAGAAAAGAAAAAGAAAACAATATAAAATACAGAAGTGGAAAGCTCATGACCTGTTGAAGTGGTGCAGTGCTGCTGGAAGGAAGAAAAGTCAAGGAAGATAAGAGTAAAAGTTAGGTTGGAAACATAGAGAGCCACAAATATGAAGCTGAAGGTAAGGCATGGGAATCATTGAGAGATTTCCACTGGGAGAGCTGTCTTTCAGGAGGATTAATCCAGCAAGCTGAGTGACCACGTTTAGCCTGCTAGATCAAATTTGCTGACAGGTAGAATGTCTTTCCTCTCTAGTATTTCTTTACTGTTTGGCATCGAATAGGCATACAGTAAATATTTGTTGAATTAAACTTCAAATGAATAACAAAATAAAATTTCAAGAAAGAGGAAAAGTGATCAGCAGTTGTTGCTAGATACAGGTCAGCAGGGTGGGGATTATTTGTAACTGCACATGAGGATGCTACAGGGGACCATGGGGAAAGTGTTTCCAGTGAATGGCTGGGGCAGGTCAGAGAGTGAAGAGTTTCAGAGTTGAGTGGGCCGTGTAGTAATCAAGGTAAATGTGCTCTTTGGCACAATCTGACAAAGGAGGAAGAGCCACTGCCCTCTGCTTCGCCACTGCCTCACTGTATCCTCATCATCCTGGACATCCTTGCTGCGCCGATGCCTTCGAGGCTGTGAAATCCTTTCCTTCTGACTGTGTCTGTTAGGTCGGGAAAATAGTAAGTTCTCATGGGGTCAGTAAATACAAGAACTTATTTACTTGAACTGGGTGGCAGTGTTGAGGAAAAGGGCAGGGTTGTGGTAGCTGGGTTTTTACACTCGTGGGTGCTTGGTCTTAGAGAGCCTGGAGCATGTGTGTCAGCAACAGAGGGGAGAGACATCCTTGTGTTGGATCTGGCTCTGGGGTCCTAGTTTCTTAAAGTTAGTAAAATTTTACTTTGGAACTCTTTTTGTTTTTAATAATTATATATTCAATTACTTCTCATCATTTTCTCCCAAAGTGTCAAATTTACTACAGCTTCAAGGAGTCAGGAATATTTGTTTTGAGGTCAGTTTTTTTGCTTCACAAGTGGGGTTGTATCATGTGCCTCCACTTCAGTTATATCTCAAGAGGTGACAAGTTGACATTTTTATTAAGTTCTGTAATGTTCTATTAGTTATGTTCTTATAATTCTGATTTGGAAGACATCCCTCTGTGAGAGCCAGGGAAAAGGAGAGTCAGTCTAGCAATCACCCGTGACGATGCATAAATTGCGTTTTGTCGATTTCAGTCGAGCTTCCCATATAGAATGAGTATATAAATATTACTTATCTGAAAAGATACTTAGGGTAAATATTTTATCAAACATATTTTAAGCCATCTGCTTTAATTAAATTTCATTGGCTTATTTATAGAACTTATCTCTGGTAGTTCAGGTTTTTTTCAGCTGAAAATTATAATACATTTTTTTCAGCCAGAACATTTCAAAATGTACTTGTATGTTTATATGACGTTGCTTTATGTGAGTAACAGCAGTGTAACACAGTCTTGCTGATTTACCCATAAAATTATAAGCTTTGCTTTCTGAAACAAAATCCGCTGGGTTTTCCTGGAGAAAACTTGAGGGAATCCAAGCGAGTCCTAGGACATTGCTGACTGAGAAAATCCTGGGCTAGGTCCATCTCCAGCTCTCTTGTTAGGGGTTGCAAACACAGATCCCAAGAAGCGCTGGGGAATGTGGTGACAGTGAAATCCAGGGGCCCCATCCCAAGTGGGCAGCCGAGGCGTGTGGGCACGGAGTTCTAGATCTTGTGATGTTTTAGTAAAGGCAGGAAATTTAGTTAAAAAAATTTTTTTTTGTCGTTTTTGGGCTCTTAACTCTTAGAAGTGAATTTAAAATGTTTAGAACATTGTGCAGCCCACATACACAAAAATCACATTTGCAGGTTGGATTTCAGCTGTAGGCTGTCTGTGCAGGTCTTCTGCTCTTAACAGGAATTTGACCTTCGTCACAGCCCTGACTGTCCCATTCAACCACAGTCATCTCTCCTGAGTTGCTACAGTTGCCGTCCAGTCCAGTTTCTTTCTGTGTCTGTGTTTGTTTACTCCCGAAAGTCTGTCCTTACTTAGCAGCGGTTGTGATCCTGCTCAGATCAAAGGAGTCCAATCCTGTGGTTCCGGTTCCCTGTAGCTCCGTGAGACTCTGAGAACTCCACTCGGCCTCCAGCGCTGCCTTTGCCGTTGCCTTGAATGAAACAGGCGCTCGATGTTGGCCTCACCTTGCTTGGTTTCTTGGCTTCTGTCTTCTGATTCTGGCTCCTACGCATCACGTTCTGCTTGCTCCTTAGCATTGCAAACTCTGACATTTTAGATGATACGTTTGTTTCCTAGTTCGTAAGTTTTTCCTGGGTAAACATTTGGAGGGTGTTTTTTGTATTTGCCTTCTTAGCACCCTTGATACACCTTGATAGTAGGTGTACAAGATACACTTGCTGAGTGGGAGCCCCTCTTTTGCCAGCCTTAAAACCATGGCTTCCAAACCTCACACCATGCTTCATTGTCCTTGCCAGTTCTGTTCTAGCTGCCAGGAGTGCCTGAGAGCCACCAAACTTGCACACTGCTAGACACAAATTAAGATGGGCTTGAAGAATAAATACTTGTCATTTCCTCTGAGCTCAAGGCATACAGATGGTAGGTGCTCAGTACACATTAAATGCATCATTTGTGCCTCTTGGCTTTTTCACTTCTGTACCAACCAAATATAATTCTACAAGGAGAGAAAGGTAAGCAAAAATTAGTTGTGTGTGTTTTCAGCTTTTTATTAGGATGTATTCCAAAGCAAAATACTAATGAATTTGGAATTACTGTCACTATCATTTCCATCTATTACCACAGATAGTCAGGAACTGATATAACTGATTTGCTTTATTTGGAGGATGAGCAATTTCTAAAAAATCATTACCCCTAGTAAACCAAGATGAGTCAGCTCATTATAATAGGGTTCTTTATACTTTGAAAAGGGGGTGGGTTTTCTTGTTCTTTCTGCAATTGATATGCGTAAGAGGAAGAATGCAAAACCATGAATCCATTCATGAAATGTACTTTTGAAATTATTCACTGATTTTTTAAAATGTTCATGCTTGTGTGTGTGTGTGTGTGTGTGTGTGTGTGTGTGTGTGTGTGTTGTGGGGGGGAGGGAAAAGGTAGATGAAAAACTACCTTGTTTAGGCATGATTGTCAATTTTATTTTCTGTCTACTTACTGCGTTGGATAAACATACTGGAATACTGCCAAAAATTCAGGTGGCTGAATGCTAATTTTGCTGAAATTAGATGGAACAGCCATCCCCTGCCAATTTTCTGTCTAAATTATGCAGAAATTTGACTCTTGTAAGACATAAATCTGGTCAAAAATAGAGTCCTAATTTTCTAGTTAGTCAGTAAGACCATCAACAGACTAATTATTCTTGTTTTATCTTTTACTTTTTATTAAGAGAAAGAAATAAAAAATGAAACGCAGTAAAAGTTACTACGCATTTTTTTCATGTAACCCAAATGTAGATTTGCAACGTTAAAGGACATAGCAGGTCTAACTTTGTCTGAGATAGAGCAGGAGTGAGCCTCAGAAAACAATTAGTGCATCTTTCAAATGTACCATAGTTATTGAATAATTACTCAAATAATGGTCAGTAATGGAATACAAAGGGTTATCTCTTAGCTAATCCTCAAGTAATGGAATTGGTATATCTGTGATTTTTCTCTTAGCCTTCCAGGGTATAGAAGAATTAGACAAAAGTGATTATGGGAACTAGAGGGAGCCACTGGAGGCCACAAGGAAAGGGAGACCTTATCTTAAGCAATTAATCAAGAAACTCATATTTTGGGACAATTATTCAGAGTTAATTCTAAAATAGCTTTAGAGCCCCAGGTCTTGAGATATTTTTTTCCAGAATTTTGTCAAGGTCATTTAGAGCACTAGGATAATCTTACATTAGAATAAAGATTTGGTTAAAGGTATATATATTAGTCTCTACCTAGAAATATGGGCAGCATGAAAACATAGCATCGGACTACATAACTGTAGTTGTAATTTTTTACTCTATTTTCATTTTTTTTGGTAGTAAACTGCACAAAATAGGATAAGGCTTTGTCCCAGAGATGGGCAGCCTTTCCCGATGCACAGTCTGAAGTGCACTGGCCTCTGGCACCCGTGGCATTAGAGGACTGGATTGCAGTTTTTGGAGTTAGGTCAGTTTGTCTCACCTTATGAAATGTGAACAGAGGGATGCTAATCCTGTTTGCCTAGTGAGTTTTTGTTTGTGTGCCATTTCACAGAATAACTGATTTCCTATTGGGTGTGGTTGTTTTAAATCTGACCAGTCATCTTATTTACTTATTACTGTGGCATTTTTTCCCATTAGTGGATTAAAAAAACTGTTATTTTCCAGGTCTTTTGTTTGTTTGACTTACCTAATTTATCTTGTTTACCTGCATAGTGAGCATTTTAAGACCTTTCCTCAGCTTTCTCTACCTGCCTTCCTTGGTATCTTCCCTTCTTCTAGTTAAGTGGATTCCCTTTGGCCGCAGACACTCTCTAGATGCCGCAGGGAGGCCAGGCCTGCCCTCGCACTGCAGCCCCCTACCTCCTCCCACCCCTACAGTAACTACCCACCCGGCTACATCCTGAGAAGGCTGTCCCAGCAGCAAGGGTGTGCCCTTGCTCCTCTGCCCCTGAAATGCTTGTTCATGACATCATCACACAGCTGGTCTTCCTCCTGAATCAGCTCTCAGCTGAAACATCTCTTCTCCATCTTTAGACAGTGACTGTCCTGTCTAAAGTCGCCCTTTTTCTCTCCACACACATTATCCCATTTTACTGTCTCCCTAGCACTTACTGTGAATTTTCCTTTTGTATTTGTTGTTGCCTATCTGCCCTGCTAGTAAAATCTATGAATAGAGAAACCTTGTCTTTTGTTTGTTAACCTCCGCATTGCCAGGCGGACACAGATCTTAACAAATATTTGTTGAATGAATGGATGGATGAGATTGCCTTGACCTTGTTATGCACACCTGACCCTGACTGTCCTCCTGCCTTGGCCTCCTCTGTGGGGCTGAAGCCACCCTCTCGGGTCATCCATAACGTCACTGCATCCTCTACACAGCTGCTAGAGTCATCTTTCTCGAAACTAGATCAAACTATTTTAAAACTACCGGTGACTTCCTATACCCTTCAAATAAAATTCACACTCTTTCCCATGATCCATGAAGCTCTCTTGACCTACCCAACCCACCTCCTTTCCTCTTGCCTTCACCTGCTCCTTCCCATGCCTCAGACACAAAACTCGTTACGCAGTATGGCTGTCCACATGCTGTCCCTGCACCTGGAGTACTTTCCCTGGCTTGTCTCTGACTGGCTGTTTTGGTTATTCCCATCTCAGTTTCATTAATCAGTATTCACATAGTTGCTTCATTCTATTTAAGAAGGTGGTGGGCCAGGCACCATGGCTCATGCCTGTAATCCCAGCACATTGGGAGGCCGAGGCAGGCAGATTATTTGAGCTCAGAAGTTTGAGACCAGCCTGGGCGACGTGGCCAAACCTCGTCTGTATGAAAATACAAAAATTATCCAGGCGTAGTAGCACATGTCCTTGGTCCCAGCTACTTGGAATGCTGAGGTGGGAGGATCACTTGGACCCAGGAGGTGGAGGCTGCAGTGAGCCATGATTGTGCCACTGCACTCCATCCTGGGTGACAGAGTAAGACCCTGGTCTCAAACGAAAAAAAAAGAAGGAAAGTGGCACTCTACATCACTACCACCTTCCCAGTTGTTATTTTCCATTCCTTTATCCTGTTTATTTCAAAGCATGTATCACAATGATTATAACAACTTTTTTTGTATATTTGATGCTTTTCTAATATTGGACACAATGGAATACTTACCCTACTCGTTAAAACTTTTCTTTTTTTAAAAAAATAATTATTTGTTTGTTTTTGGAGGCGGATTCTCGCTACACTGCCCAGGCTGGTCTGGAACTCCTGGCCTTAAGAGATCCTCTCACCTCAGCCTCCCAAAGTGCTGGCATTACAGGCATGAGCCACCTCGCCTGGCCACAACTTTTCTTTCTTATACTTGCTTATACTTTCTCTTCATTGTTGTTGTTTTAATCTTTTCTGATTTTCCTCCAACTCATTGGCTGTCCCATCTCCTTCTCCGGCCCCTCTTCTGCTGTTATTGAAATGTCGGCAGCCCTAGAATCCTGCCCTTGGTTCTCTGCTCTGCTGTGCAATCTGCAGGTCACCTTTCCTGCATGCACGGCCCCTCCAGCCCCCACCGCAGGCCGGATAGTGCGGTTAAGAGCTTTCCATCAGCAGCTGTGAGGGCCTTCTCTGGGTTAGGCGCTGTTTAGACTCTGGGAATAGTCTAAAAGGTGTAGTTCCTTCCAGCATGAAGCTTATTGCATTTTGGTGAGGGAGACAAAAAATAGCTAAGCAAACATTCTGTGGTGTTAGGTAAGGGAGTGCAGTGGCAATGAGGCCAGGTAAGAAAGCTACTGGGAGGCGAGTTGATTGCAATGTGCAGTGATCAGAGACGGCTTCACTGAGGGGTGACATTAGAGAGCCAAATAATACGAGAGAAGCAGCCGTGAGCCGACCTGGAGGAACAGCACTGGGGCTGCTGCGAGAGCGTTGGGGAGAAGCTTGGTGAGTTTGAGAAGCATCGAAGATGCCAGCATGGCTTGATGAAGGCAGCTAAGAAGGAGGATGGGGCCAGACCTTCCAAGACCTCAGAGGCCATGGCAAGGAGCTGGGGCTTTATTCCAGTGGTGACAGGAAGCACTGGAGGCTTTTGAGCAGGGAAATGATCTGATTTGGGATTCGGAGTTGGAGAGTCAATTCCAGCCTCATCCATCACATGGCTTTATGTGAAGAAGCAGCGGTCATATTTAGCATTTTCTTAGCCAACAGTCTAACTGAAATCACCCATGTACAGACAGGAAATGACGTTCACAATTCTATGTTGACGCACTATAACTTCCTGACATACCTTTTATTAAAGAAAGTTTAAATTGTCTCAAGTGGTTTTATTGTTAAATATAGTACTTTATGACTCTGATTTTTTTTTTTTTTGGAGACAGGGTCTCACTCTGTTGCCCCGGCTGGAACGCAGTGGTACGAACATAGTTCACTGCGACCTCGAACTCTTAGGTTCAAGCAATCCTCTGGCCCCAGCCTCCCGAGTAGCTGGGTCCACAGGTGGGCACCACTGGGCCCTACTAATTTTTTTTTTCTTTTCTTTTCTTTCTTTCTTTTTTTTTTTTTTAGAGACAAGATCTTTCTTGTTGCCCAGGCTGGTCTTGAACTCCCAGCTTCAAGCAGTCCTCCTGCCTCAGCCTCTTAAAGTGTTGGGATTACAGGCATGAACCAGTGCGCCCAGCCTTCGTCTGATTTTAAGAATGTTTATTCTGTATATGATGGATGTGATAACTTTCTATTATTACTCATAGATGGATGAACTGTTCTGCTGCTCTCCCTGGTTCCTCATCCAGGCCAGGAAAGAGTTGATTGTAATTTCATAGCATTTTTCTCATAATAATCTTTAAATCCTGAATTGCTTGTTTTGTGGCTTTTGCATATGGATGGTCTCCTAGTGTGTTGGGTGTTTTGACTCACCAAATTTTGAGAGACTAGCAGCAGATTTTACAGGCTGCCTCCTAAATAGGAAGATGTTTGGAGTTGTTGGAATGAGACAGGGATAGATACATAACAACCAAAAGCTTAAATACTGATCTTTTTCCCTATCAAATTTATCACTGGGTACTGAACTAATGTTTATCTTACCAGTTCAAACTTGAGTCACCCTAAATTTGTTTTTCTTTCGAATCTTGCTTCCTAACAGTCATTGTGTCATTATACTGAGCTTTCTTTATTAAATGGTTTTGTTAAAATCTCCAGGATTATACATGCATAGTTGGGGAAAAGAGGGAAAAAAGCAAGTGTAGGAACAGCTTCCTCAGAGGGACTGACGCGCAGAGGTGCTGGGCGGGTGGGGAGCAAGAGCTGTGCCCGGCTGCTGCCGCCGCTGCTGACAGCCGCTCTCGGGTCAACAGTGTCAGGATGATTTCCCATTACTTTTTTATCGACTGCTCTTGATGATCCTGTGAAGTAAGTGGGCTCAGCATTATTGTGTGAGTGTCTGTGCGTGCACAGATGAAGAACCTTGTGCTCACCATCACAGAGAAAGAGGAAGGGGCTGGTTCTGTAAATCAGAGTCCACTTGCCCTTTGCTGTTTCCACTGTAACGAAATGCTGCCTTAATAATAAAGCACAGCCGGAAATAAAGAGTGGGCTGCTTAGCACTGTCCCCAGGACAGAGGCCATGTGGCAGGCAAGTCAGCCTCTTCGACAGGATTGTGTACCAGGCCTACTCATGGATGCCTGGGTGTCTTATATATAAGTGGACACAAGAAGGGAGAGAATGGAGCACTTAGGGCAACAGCCAAGCAGGCCCCCACCTGTCCTAGCCTTTCCCTTTGCATCGCATTATGTAAGTCCTCCCTTCTTTGACACTTGGATTTTAGAATGTCCACTTTCATGTTGCTTTAATAACTAGAACAATGTCTTCATTTTACATAGAAGGAACACAGTAAGAATTTAATAGTAACTTGAAACAACTGTAAAATTCCGTTGATCCTGAGATATCAGTTGTAAGACACACCATTCATTTATGTACCACTAAGGTAAAAACAAACAAACAAAACCAAAACATTGCCAATTAGACTGTGAAGCAATTCTTTCTTCTATAAAACATTTTTTTAACTGCATAGACCAAATACTTCAAATTTCTTAAATGGTTTGTTGACTGAAACATAGAAGGGTTGCAGTGGCCAGTCATTCTACCAGGAGTAACAGTCAAGTTCACCCATCGGCAGGCAGTGACTGCGCATCACCACTGCCTGTCCAATAAAGATAGGAAGATACTACTGGTTAGAAAAGATGGCCCAATTTCAGAGATGCACATTTTTGTTTTCACATTTTAATAAATTAGAGTCAATGATACATGGTGAAATCGTTTCTCTCATTTTTCTAATAATAGCACTGCTGGAGAAAGTACTTATTATTAGCCTGTAATGGTGGTTTAGCAGCAGAAGGCAGATGTGGTTCCCGTATCAGTGAAGCTTTGTTGGGGAAACAGACAAGAAATGCATGAACAGTCAAACAGTTATAAATTGCGACTCCTTATTTTGGGGATGTAGAATGACCAGAGAATATGTCTTTGAAAAGACAGTATTACTCTTGAGACTTAAAGGGAGAGAGATAGAGAAATATAGAACGACCCAGGGAAGAGTGTTCCCATGGGAGGGGAGCAGAATATGTGGGCATGAAGACCCTGTGGAGGGAAAGACCTTGGCACCTTCCAGAAGTTCGGAGAATAATTGTGTGTCTCGAGCAGAAAGTTCCTCACGTGGCTAGTTCTTTGAATTAAACTCAAACATGTCCTAATTTGGATTTAGAGAAACGTCTTACCAGATACAGTCATAGTGTTTTAGTTCATGAAGCATATTTATTCTTTTCATGAAATGCTTCTGAGGATGGAATCACTTTCAAGCAAAATCTTTTCTTTTAAGTCAGTAGTCCGTAAAAGTACTGGATGTTGATGAGTGTATATCCATGTAGTTATATACAGTTATCCTCATTATGCACAGATTCTGTTTCTCACAATCATTTGAAGACATGCAGAGCAGCAAAAATTCAGTCGCATGCGTTGCCTGTTCCCAGCTGAGGTCGAGCAAGGCAGCACTCTGCCTTTGGTGTCAGCTCTCGCACTATAAGGAAGTGTGGTTTTCACCATCTCAGTAGTGCCATGTTTTTCTCATTCTGTGCTTTTGTTGGTGATTTTGTGTTTAAAATGGCCCCAAAGCATAGTGCTGAAGTCCTGTCTAGTGGTCCCAGTGCCAGAGGCTGTGATGTGCCTCATAGAGAAAATGCATGTGTTACATAAGCCTCTTCTAGGCATGAGTTACAGTGCTGTGCACTGGGAGTTCAATGTTAATGCATCATTAATATCTTAGATAAGGTGTCTTTAAGCAGAAGCACATGTAAAACAAGGGTATGCATCGATTAGCTGATGAAAATGTTGTGACCAGAGACTTATAGGAACCTAACCGTGTATTTCTCTTAAGAGCAGTGGTTCAGTATTTGTTAGTTCAGTGTTACCATAACTACTGCAAATAACAAGTGACAGTATGTGTACATATGAATACATAGCTAACATGCTGTTGTGTAACAAGCCACCCCCAAACTTTAGCAGCTTAAAACAGCAACCGTTTACTAGCTTACAATTCCATGAGTTTGCATTTTGGGTTGGCTCAGCCATGCGGCTCTTCTGCTGGACGAGGCTGGGATCACCCATACATTTACTGTTGGCTGGTGGTCAGTGGCTTTGCTCCTATGCCTGGTGCTTTGGCTGGGGCTCTGGGCCACACACTTCATCACCCCGCAGGCTAACCTGGGCTCATTCCTGTGGCAGTGGTTGCAGGTTTCCCAAGAGCAGCAGGAAGGCAAGTCCTTAGTGTGCAGCCGCTTTCCATGCCTCTGCTTCTGTCACATTTGCCCATTGGCCAAAGCAAGTCACACAGCCACCCAAAATCATGTCCACCTCTTGATGAGAACAGCTGTAGAAGCCCAGTGGAAGGGCATAGATGCAGGGAGGGGAAGAATGTCTGTTCATTTTTACAGTCTGACTCGTACTTCTCATACTAAGTCGTTTATATACAAACTCATTTTTTACATACTTTGTCTTACTGTTACTCAAAAGCCAAAGAGGTAGTACTTTCTGTTAACCCAAACTGGCATTAAGAGGAAACTGAAGTTCAGAAGGATGAAGGAACCACATAGCCCAATAATTGGCAGAGGCACATCATACATGTCTCTATGATTGTAGGGTTTTTATTCTGTTTCTATTGTTTCACTTTCTGATAGATAAATGGCTAATTTGCCTAATTTGTCTTATTCCTGGGGTGGGGAAAGGAATTGCAATGAGATTAGTTTCATCCCTACAGAACAATACTATTGTCTGTAAAATAAACTGTATCCTATGCATAGTCTTACTATTTTAAGTCTAGGAAAATCATGATGATAGTGATTTGTGAATGTGTGGTGTTTGATTATAAATTTGATTTGCACAAAGGGCCTACATCCTGGATATGGAATCTTAGTTGTAACAGAATTTATCCTGAAAGACTTAAAGGAAGATGATTAAAATATTAGAGATATTGACATTGTCTGAAGAGATCTACTTGTATTTATTTCTTGCAAAAAAAAAATCCACCATATTACCATAGCCAGGCCCTATTATGCTATTGTAATCATAGTTGAACCAAGAAGAGTGATTAACGATAGCAATTTATTGTATCTGAGGAGGAGAGAAAATAGGAGATGTTGTCGTTATCATAAATCATATCATAAATAACCAAAAAGAAGCACTCAGAATGCTTGTGTGGTGTCAGCAGCCAGCCCTTTCAGACACGTTAGCCCAGGATGTAGCCATAGAAACCCCAAAGTCATATTGTTATCTTAGTCTTGCTGCAGTTATGTGATACAACAGTATTAACATATAGATTAGGCCATTTATAATACTAGGTGTCATTTCAGGTTGGCTTGCTTATATAGCATTTTAGTTTTTTATTGTGCAGAATGTTAGTGAAATAGTACTTTTTTACAGGTCACTGTGTATCTAGGAATTTATAATGCATCATATTCACTCTACTATTAATTTCTTGTGTTATTGATTGGTTGTAATGTATGAATTGTCATTGCCTAATTGTCTTGTCTTTGCTAGTAATTTCATTTTTTAAGTAAACAGGTTTATTTTAAAAATACATACCCACTTACACATGTTGAGTTGTGTTTTAAGGGTCTAATTTCTGTTACATTATAGACAGGACAATTTTAAAATATTTTATAAGGAGATGTCAATGGAATTATTTTTTAGCCTCATTTAGTACTAGAAGATATAATGATGAAGTGGATTATGATTGTTTTTGACGCCATGCCCTTCTTTTCCTTCCCAGCATCGAGTGCCTGTTTTCCTATTATTTCCTGACTGCCCCAGCCTCTTCTCCTCAGAGTAGCTTCCCAGCTGGGCCTGACCCTGACCTTCCTGGTAGTAATACCCCGTGTTCTACACTCACCTAATCCTCAACATTCCATCACGTTGTTTCACTTCGGTTCCATTTTCCCAGTCTTCTCACTTCAAAAAGTAGGGTAGAGTTGTTCATTTGTTAGTTTCATGGTCTTAAAAATATTTTCACAGCAACATTTTAAAGATACTGCCTTTACCCAAACACATAAATCAAGTGGTAGAGTTTCAGGAACTGTTGCTTGTTGGTCAGTGAGATATTTAGGGGCAGGAGTAGCTCTGTCCTGCCCTTTAGATCATCCCACACATGGCCAACTACATGTAGAGATGGCCCTAATAATAAAGATCTTCATCTCTTGGAGGAGGTCAGATGTCAGTATTCACACTTTACAGATGAGAAAACTTAGGTCTTGGGAGGTGAAATGGGCTGTGCTGGGTTGAACTTGGCTCTGTGAACCGATCCCAGGTGTCATTTCAGTTAGGTTCCCTGCCCAGCCAACATTTCCATTCCTGCCTTCATATCCCTTGATGTGGCTCCGTGTGTACCTTGTGCAGATTCCTGCCTACCGTGTGAACTGATGGCCATAAAATGTGTTTGATTAAGGACAGCCAATCATGTCTTATTTGTCTTTGTAGTCCTAGTTAACACAGAACTTTCCATAGTGAGATTCAGAGTGCACATCATAGGCAAATGAATGAATTAGTCCTAGTTAACACAGAGCTCTCCATAGTGAGACTCAAGAGTGCACGCCATAGGCAAATGAGTGGATTAGTCCTAGTTAACACAGAGCTCTCCATAGTGAGATTCAGAGTGCACTCCATAGGTGAATGAGCGGATTAGTCCTAGTTAACACAGAGCTCTCCCTAGTGAGATTCAGAGTGCACTCCACAGGTGAATGAGTGGATTAGTCCTAGTTAACACAGAGCTCTCCATAGTGAGATTCAGAGTGCACTCCATAGGCGAATGAGTGAATTAGTTCTAGTTAACATGAGCTCTCCATAGTGAGATTTAGAGTGCACTCCATAGGTGAATGAATGAATTAGTCCCAGTTAACACAGAGCTCTCCATAGTGAGATTCAGAGTGCACTCCATATATGAATGAGTGGATTAGTCCTAGTTAACACAGAGCTCTTCCTAGTGAGATTCAGAGTGCACTCCATAGGTGAATGAGTGGATTAGTCCTAGTTAACACAGAGCTCTCCCTAGTGAGATTCAGAGTGCACTCCATAGGCGAATGAGTGAATTAGTTCTAGTTAACACAGAGCTCTCCATAGTGAGATTCAGAGTGCACTCCATAGGCAAATGAGTGAATTAGTTCTAGTTAACACGAGCTCTCCATAGTGAGATTTAGAGTGCACTCCATAGGTGAATGAATGAATTAGTCCCAGTTAACACAGAGCTCTCCATAGTGAGATTCAGAGTGCACTCCATAGGCGAATGAGTGAATTAGTTCTAGTTAACACAGAGCTCTCCATAGTGAGATTTAGAGTGCACTCCATAGGTGAATGAATGAATTAGTCCCAGTTAACACAGAGCTCTCCATAGTGAGATTCAGAGTGCACTCCATATGTGAATGAGTGGATTAGTCCTAGTTAACACAGAGCTCTCCCTAGTGAGATTCAGAGTGCACTCCATAGGTGAATGAGTGGATTAGTCCTAGTTAACACAGAGCTCTCCCTAGTGAGATTCAGAGTGCCCTCCATAGGCGAATGAGTGAATTAGTTCTAGTTAACACAGAGCTCTCCATAGTGAGATTCAGAGTGCACTCCATAGGTGAATGAGTGAATTAGTTCTAGTTAACACAGAGCTCTCCATAGTGAGATTCAGAGTGCACTCCATAGGCGAATGAGTGAATTAGTTCTAGTTAACACGAGCTCTCCATAGTGAGATTTAGAGTGCACTCCATAGGTGAATGAATGAATTAGTCCCAGTTAACACAGAGCTCTCCATAGTGAGATTCAGAGTGCACTCCATATGTGAATGAATGAATTTTAGTGGCATTGAGTCACTTCAAGGAACTGGTTACAATAAATATACCTAAATTCAGACGAATAGAAAGGTATTTTTTGAAAAAAGTATGCTTTTTTGTTTTTCAACCTCTCTGCCCCACCTCTCCCGTGCTGTCTAAGCATTCATTTAAATGATCCTTTCATTTGCTAGTAAAAGAGGAATCTATTATAAAAACAGTGACATGTATGGACTAATAGGAAAGTTTGTGCATCATTGTAGAAATTAATTTCTACATCTGCATACATTTTTCATTTACAGATTCTGACACAAGATTGTGTGTACACTTTTAACCAATCATAAGAAGTCTAGCTTTAAATACGTTTAATTTTTGATGAAATATATGCAGATAGCATTTTGTTGTTCCTTTGCTTAAAGTTTAAGAATACAAGCATATTTTCTGCTTAGTTGGAGAACATGCCACTGAATTTTAAAGTTGCATGCGTCTGTGTAGTTAGTCAGATAAAAAGCTTCTATGCCATGTGCAAACAATTTCCCTTTATTTCCTAATGTCTATGAACTTTTTAGATTATAGTGTTTCTTTAAAGGCATTTACTATTCTAGTTAAAAAGATATTTTGTTCTAAGTCAATATTTATAGTAGCTTAGAATTAACCTCCCAAAAATCCTTTTGGTGTGTCAGACCTTATTGCCTTGTTCTGTTTTTGTCTGAGAAGTTTAGAAAAGAAGCATGTTTTTCTCATTATTCCTCAGGAGAATGTAGGGAGTGTGGATTATTTGTTTGTGTTATTAATGAAGGAAAATTGAAATGGAGTTTGTGGTGTCCTGCTCCCATCAACATTTGTAAAGCTTTTGAAAGATAGGGATTAATATGGATACATTTTGTTGCTTTTATGTGATTAAAAGGAATTTGACAATTGTTCTGCAGTCACACTCTGATGCTTTTAGGGTAAAGGATCGTGATGTCTACAACTTATTCTCAAAGTTTCCCAAAATTATACTATAATTAGGTAATTATATTAATAGATGTAGTTATATAATACATATGTTAATTAGTGCATCGGGTTATAGGGTATTCATGAATTCTTTGTAGTATTCTTACAACTTTTCTACGTTTGAAATTATTTCAAATTTAAAAATTAAAAAATAGGCCGGGCGCGGTGTCTCACGCCTGTAATCCCAGCACTTTGAGGGGCCGAGGTGGGCAGATCACGAGGTCAGGAGTTTGAGACCAGCCTGCCAGCATAGTGAAATCTCATCTCTACTAAAAACAAAAAAGTTAGCCAGACATAGTGGCACGTGCCTATAATCCCAGCTACTCGGGAGGCTGAGGCAGGAGAATCGCTTGACCCCGGGAGGTGGAGGTTGCAGTGAACCGGAATCATGCCACTGCACTCCAGCCTGGGCAACAGAGTGAGACTCCATCTCAAAAAATAATAATAATTTTAAAATAATTTTACAGTCAAATGTTGACCTGGAACCATTGATTGTTTAAACAAGAAGATATCTTAGAAAGCATCTCTGTCTCCCTATTTTTGTATACATTATGATCAGATACCCAGCTACCAATTAAATATCTGTCTAAAAGTGAATCTCTAGCTGTGGTGATGAATTTGTGCTGAGTCATTCATGATTTCACATCATTTCCCTTTTTGGACTGGTGAAAAAAGCATACCAGACATGCAAAACATTTGGCAGAATGAGGAGTTCCTTCTTACTGTGGCCATTTCTTATTTGAAGTATAGCATTCACATTTTAGTGACTGTGTGAAAAACATGAAAAAATAGGGTTGTTAAGAGGGGACATGAATTTTAGTTAAGATTTTTTTGAAAATAGGTATTACCACACTGTTTTAGGTGTGATTCTTCATGTCTTTAATTTTTTTTTGTTGTTAGTGTCTTTTTTCTACTAGAACTATAGGGGTTATATAATAATTTATGGGATTCTTTGATGAATGAGAGTTTAATCAATTATAACACATAATTTTCAATACATTCTCACACGTGGGAAAAGCAAATCAAAAGTCATATCACTATCAACTTTAACCAAACTTTAGCACAAGCGGAAAAGGTGACATCACTTTTGGGAATAATCCTTACTATGCCTTTAGGGACATGAGCATTAATACCTATCCAGAACTACCTTTCCTTAGTTAAATACCCACTGTCCTTCAAAGCTTCCCCAACAGCCCTCAATTGCTTTCATGGAGCGATGGGGAGATTAGGGCAGACGATGGGGAGATTAGGGCAGACGGCTGAGGTGAATTCACATCACCCACAGATACTAACTCTGGATGTGTGCTGCTATTGGTTTTACAGAGATCACGGGGAGGAGAATTGTTTTTTGTTTTTTTAATCTTCTCAAAAGGGTTACAAGGTTAACTTTCCAAGGCATATCTCTATTATTGATGGGTATTATTATTTAGCAGTTTGAATACTTACCTTTAGTAATTAATTTTCAGAATACTCTCAAGATAAATGGTGTTAAAGAACTGGTCTTATTGATCAAGGAACTAATGCGCCAAGAAGATGAACTTGTGTGAAAACTTACAACTAACAATCAATTTTTTAAATTTTTTTTTCAATATTTGTTTCTCACATATGTACAGAAGAGTCCTTTTCTCCCGTTTCAGAACACTAAAATAACAGAAAATGAGTTCTTAGTTCTTTGGAAATAAAAATCTTTGAAATATTTCATATATACACATGCTGTCTGTCTCACGCTCTCTCTAGCGCGCTCTCTCTCTCTCTCTCTCTCTCTCTCTCTCTCGATGTTGGAACACAGCTATTATTATTATTATGTCTATATTTGTGTTAAAGTAGAAAGGGCCTGTGACCCAAATTTTTTTTTATTATTTTTGCAATAACATATCAAGATTAGATATCTTGTAATATTAAGCTTATGCTGACCAAATTTTGCAGTTTTATAATACACAGGCTTCCACAGATTAGTGTAGGAAAATATTTTTAAGACATTTGTAGGATATTTTACAGATTATTAGTAAATGATGATCATTATACACATGCATGCAAAGAATACTTTGTTGCCATTCAATTATTATGAAACTGAAATTCACCTTTACCAGTGGTAGAGGCTAAACAGTTCAATAGCCATTACACATGTATCTTATTCCAAACACTTAAAACATAGAATTAAAATTATTCATGTAGTAAAAAGCCAGATACTCATTATGTGTAACCATCAACCAAGTCTGCATTTGAGCAGGCAGAAGCTAGATCAACTGTATTTATTTGTTTTAATTTTAAAAATTCTAATATTTTTAAAATAAAATATATTCACTCAAGTCGAAAACTTTTTTACCAGGAGAATGGATTAGCTACCATTGGACATTTCTGCAGCAGTGAAAATAAGTGAACTACAGCTGCCTGCATCAATCTGGGTGAATCTCAGAAACATAATGTTGGGTAAAAATTAAAAAAAAAAATTATAGTATCATACTATTTATGTAAAGTTCAAAAACAAGCAAACTACCTACAAATATGGTAAAACTACAAAGGAAACAGATTGAAGATCAAGATAGTAGTTCCCTGGGGGCTGGGGTAGGAGTGGAGAAAGCAGGGGTGGATGGGAAAGGAGCCACAGGATTGGGAGGGCCCTGCTCATGCTCTTCTGAAGCAGGCGATGGCCTCGCAGGTGTTCACTGATTATTATGCTTCATAACTTCCACGCGCGTTACTTATTCCTGCTGGTAGGTATCAGATCATTTCTAATTTTAAAAATTGTTTAAGTATCTTCACACTTTTTCCTTTTCTTATTAAAAGTTTTAGGCTTTTGGCCGGGCACGGTGGCTCACGCCTGTAATCCCAGCACTTTGGGAGGCTGAGGTGGGCGGATCACAAGGTCAGGACATCGAGACCATCCTGGCTAACATGGTAAAACCCCGTCTCTACTAAAAATACACACACACAAAATTAGCCGGGCGTGGTGACGGGCGCCTGTAGTCTCAGCTACTTGGGAGGCTGAGGCAGGAGAATGCCGTGAACCCAGGAGGCGGAGCTTGCAGTGAGCTGAGACCGTGCCATTGCACCCTAGCCTGGGTGACAGAACGAGATTCTGTCTCACACACACACACACACACACACACAAAAAAAGTTTCAGGCTTTTTTTTCTGACGAAGTCCTTTGTTCATTTTAATTGATTTTGATGCTGCAATTGAAGCTTTCTTATAAAATCTTAAGTAAATAAGAAAGTGTAAATTAAACAAATAAAAATAAGAAACCTTTGTTTGTTCTAAAAAAAATCTATTTTAAAACGTTTGTATTTTTAAGTATTCCTAAAACCAACACTTGAAGTGATTTAGTTTTATAATTCATTTCTATTCCTTTAAATAACATAAAGGAATGAATACAAGTTTTTGCAGTATTAAGTAACATAAAGGAATGAATATAAATTTTTGCAGTAGGAACTTGAAAAACAAAAGTGAAAATAAACAATAAAAACAAAATAACAAAAACAGAATAAACCTAGCTTGTGGAGTCTTACTTTAAATCAAGCTTAATGTTAAGTTTTTTTTACTGAAACACAAACAACCATCATTAATTTTTGATACCGTTATGAGTTATTTGAGCTCTAAATTCAAAGTAAACCAATATATTTTCTAAAGTAGTTGTATGAAACCATCCCAGTTTTCCTAGCCAAGCCTCACATTCTTCCTTCATTCAAAGGCCTATCTTGTAGCCATTTTGCCAGTTCTAATCTGATAGAATTGCACATTAGTAAAATAATATATCTTACTATACAGAAAAATCCAAATTTTCAAGTTATTGTAACTATAAAGCAGACCTTACATCCATAAGACTTGAAACTGTCTTACTAGTAGTCCTGGGTATCCCCTGTAGTCCCTTTCTAGGGAATGCTTGGAGTAGAGCAGTTTCCCTCTGGTCTCCCAGTATCCATAAGGCCTTCCCTGGAGAACACACACTGTTAGAGCTGAGCTATATCCAGATTAGTCCCCAGAGTTAGAAGAGCAGGATGCACCATAACATACTCTAAAGACCCGTTATCCTGCCTAAGCCAAACCTTTATCATTCTGTTTTGGCATCATTGGGATTTATGAACCTCTGTGGAGTAGGAGGAGGTTCTTTGAAATTTAGAAATGTAATATTAATAAGTGAATGTTCATTCACTTTCAGAATACCCTAAAGCTGTCTTCTTTCTGATTTTCTCATGTTTATCTGTTGGCAGTTGAGCAGATCTGAAGTCCGCCTTGTCATTCTGATAGCAAAAGCGAGGGAGGGAGGGAAAAGTTTAGATGAGCTGAATGTGGTAGGTCTAGGACAGGGGTCAGCAAACGTTTTTTTGTAAAGAGCTGGATAGTAAATATTCTAGGCTTTCTTTGTTGCATGTATAACTGGAACACAGTAGACCCCAAAGGGAGTACGTGGTTATTTCTAGTTGCTAAGAGAAGGCATTACAGAATAGGTAATACTTGAGAGCCTTAGAAGTCGCCAACATGTTAGGAAGGAAAAGACATTTCAGGCACGGGGAATCGCATGTGCAGAGGTACAGGAGTGTGACCACATATTTGGGGATTGCAGATAAGTTAGCATGGCTGGAATGGGTAGAGCACGCAGGGGCTCACTGTGAATGATGAGGTTACTTCCCTAGCTTAGAGGGAGCACCTTGTCAGTCATACTGGAGAAATTGGATTTTTATATTTTATTTTTTCCTCCAATTTCCCAGATGGAGAGGATTTTTGTATTTTAGAATAGTGATTTTCAAACATGTTTTAGCCTCACAACAAAAGCTTTTGTGGAAGCTCTGCATGTAAAATAGATAACCCCAGGCATAACTCTTCCGTGTAATAAAGAACAGCCGTTTCTACTGTGCAGTAGCCTCAGAAGGGGTTCTACAAACCCTCAATTTCCAAGGGATGCCTTTTACAAACTGCTTCTGAAGGAAGCAATGAAAGGTTTTTAAGATGAGGAACCACAAGCTCAGATTTGCGTGTTCGGAAGATCACCGTAAGACGACGTGAGAGATGGTTCTGAGAAAGCTGCACTGGAGGCCGAGACTAGGTAGAAGGTCCTTGCAGCCATACAGAGAAGAGGTGCTGAATATTGATATTAACAAGACAGAAGCAGGGGGAAAGCACATGAAAGCAAACAGAGTTGAAAACTTGTGCTGTCAATTCAGATCTGGCGGAGAAGATGGGAGAGAATCTAGAATGACCCCAGGTTCCTGACTTGGGACCTGGTGGGTGATGCCATCATTATCGCGAATCGGTAGCATAATTGATGAGGTTGTGATGTTCTTTATGATTTACTAAGTACTTCCCCATGCATCATCTCACGCGTTCTCCATCTGTGCATCCTTCATGCTTTTGCAGCATGGCTTCTGCTGTTGGCCTCATCCTCGTTGACCTCTTAAGCATTTGGCTTTGTTCACCTGCCTTCTGCATAAAACTCTTGCTCCCTTGATCTCTTTGACATCTGACCCTCCATGTATTTCTTTAGTTCTTCTTCCTTTTCTTTTTATATATAGGTATTCCTCAAAATACCTGAACCTGTTTCCTCTTGTTTCTTCCTTGTTCATATCATCCATCATGGTGACTTTAGTTATCTCAACAACACTCTTTCTCTCATGCACTCTGTCCTGTTTTCTGATCATCTGTATTATATTTCAGCTGCCGAGTAGGCATTGCAGACTAAATGTTCATCAAACTCTGTGTCTAGGGATTGAGCTAATAATCATTGTCCTTTTCTATTTCCTTATTTCCTGTTTCTGTTCATCACTACATTTATCACTCACCAAGGCTCAAAGCTTTCTTTCCCTTTTTTTTTTCTTTAAAAATAGGGTCTCGCTCTGTCGCCCAGGCTGGAGTGCAGTGGCGCAATCATGGCTCATTGCAGCCTCAACCTTCTGGGCTCAGGTGACCCTTGCACCTCAGTCTCCCAGGTAGCTGGGACTACAGGCACGCACCACAACACCCAGCTAATTTTTGTATTTTTTAGTAAAGATGGGGTCTCACTATGTTGCCCAGGCTGGTTTCAAACTCCTGGGCTCAGGTAATCCTACTCCCTCGGCCTCCCAAGATGTTGGCATTACAGGCATGAGCCACCATGCCTGACCAGGCTCAAAGCTTTGAAATTGTGTTTGAGTCCTTGCTCAAGTCTTATACCCTAATCATTTATCAGATTCTATCCATTCTATCCTCAGAATATCCTTCACCTCTGCTGCTTCCTGATCATTTCCACTGTTCTAGCTCTGACCCTTACTGCCTCTCACATCACTTCAGTAATCCATGTTATTGCTCTCCTTCAGTACCCATCACCTCCCACCCTCATCCATCCTGCGTGTTCCTGCCAGTGTGACTTTTCCCAACACATACCCCACACGTTTTTCTCTGTTGTCTAAAATCCTTCTAGGTCCAAACTACCAGTAGAATAAAGATTATGTTTCTTTTTCTGGAATTCAAAAGTCCTAGGATCTGGATGCAATTTTACTAAACCTGCTTCCTACTGCTCCCCACCTTGCACTCTACTTTCCAGACAAATAATTTTCTGTTTCTCTTACACTCCCCGTGTTTCACCTTCATCTATTTGTCATCTGACCCTTTGTCCTGGACTTCACCACTTCCAGTCTCCAACTATCCCAAACGCTGCATAATTAATCAAGCCTCCTCCGCATGATTGACCTCGCTGAGATCTGTCTCTCCTTTGACCTGCTGTAGCACTTTATCTGTCTGTGGCACTGATCACTTTCTGTGGGCTAGACATATCTGTTATTGCTGCACTAAACTGTGAGCTCTTTTAGTTGTGATTTATTTCTGATTTATTTCAGTGGCTCTTTTAGACTTTATCATTGTACATTATATGCTTAGTTAAAATGTGTTGGGAGAAATAATCTGATCTTAGAAAAACTCAGCCAAGTAGGCAGGGCAAGTAACATCGGCTCCTTTTTGAAAGATTAGGAAACAGGCTCAGAGAGGTTGAGAGAGTCCCTAAGGCTGGTTGCTCTCTAGTGCCGTAACTCTAGCCGAAAAACCATTTGTCAAGTGCCTAAACCAAGTGTATTTCATTGCACCATACTCCCTCTCCAAGTGGCTCACATCAAGCAAGCAAAATAGAAGACATAAGTAGTATATGAATTTGTCATAAAAGTCCTAAAAATACCTGTCATTCCTGATAATAATAATAATCCATACTAAGTCCTATAATAATCCATCTCTTGATTTTTTAGAGGGTGTGTGGGTGCGCACGTGTGCTTCTATGTGCATGAGAGAGAGATAGAGAAAGATGGCATTTACTGGTTAGGAAAATAATTAATTCAGGAAACAACAGAAGGCCAACTGGAAATACCGAGCAATTTCCAGATCCTGAGGTTAGGGCCAGACCATGTGAAAGGACAATGATCAATTTGTACATCTGCTGTTACTGACTGCCACTCTTTTAAGAATGATGGCACACATGTTTGGAAGATCCTTGAAAACTAACTTACTTTTTAAACACTGTCAATAATTTCCTTTTTTTTTTAGAAATCATGTTTGAACGCCGCATGTTCTCACTCATAAGTGGGAGTTGAACAGTGAGAACACATGGACACAGAGGGAGGGGAACATCACACATCGGCACCTGTTGGGAGGTCGGGGGCTGGGGGAGGGATAGCGTTAGGAGAAATACCTAATGTAAATGATGAGTTGATGGGTGCAGCAAATTAACAGGGCACATGTATACCTGTGTAACAAACCTGCATGTTGTGCCCATGTACCCTAGAACTTAAAGTATAATAATAAAAAAGAAAGAAAAAAGAAATCATATTTGAAGCATTGTTTTTATTTCTTAGGTTTTGTTACATTCCAATAATATTTATTTTTTTCTTCCTTTTTCTTCCTTTACCAGAAGAAGAAGAAGAGCAGGTGCCCACTGATGGAGGCACATCAGCAGAAGCCATGCAGGTTCCCTTGGAAGAAGATGATGAATTGGAGGAGGAAGAAATTATTAATGATGAGAATTTCCTGGGCAAGAGACCACTGGATAGTCCTGAAGCTGAAGAACTGCCAGCCATGAAGCGGCCTCGGCTATTAAGCACTAAAGGGGACACGCTAGATGTTGTGTTATTGGAAGCTCGAGAGCCACTCAGCTCAATAAATACTCAAAAGATCCCACCAATGCTTTCTCCAGTCCATGTACAGGACAGTACAGACTTGGCACCTCCCTCACCCGAGCCGCCAATGTTGGCTCCAGTTGCAAAATCACAAATGCCAACTGCAAAACCATTAGAAACAAAGTCATTTACACCTAAAACAAAGACTAAAACTAGCTCTCCAGGACAGAAGACTAAATCACCTAAAACCGCCCAGTCACCAGCAATGGTCGGAAGTCCTATTCGATCACCAAAAACTGTATCCAAAGAAAAGAAATCACCTGGACGTTCCAAGAGCCCCAAGAGTCCCAAGAGCCCCAAGGTCACGACTCACATTCCCCAAACACCTGTGAGACCTGAAACGCCCAACAGGACTCCTTCAGCTACACTCAGTGAAAAAATCAGTAAAGAGACTATCCAGGTAAAACAAATACAGACACCCCCTGATGCTGGGAAACTGAACAGTGAGAATCAGCCGAAAAAGGCTGTGGTAGCAGATAAAACGATTGAGGCCTCTATCGATGCTGTGATTGCACGAGCCTGTGCTGAGCGAGAGCCAGATCCTTTCGAATTTTCTTCTGGATCGGAATCTGAAGGAGACATTTTTACTAGCCCTAAGAGAATTTCAGGCCCGGAGTGTACTACTCCCAAAGCTTCCACTTCCGCGAACAATTTCACAAAGTCAGGATCCACTCCTCTGCCTCTTTCCGGTGGAACCTCAAGTTCCGATAACTCATGGACAATGGATGCCTCCATTGATGAGGTTGTACGTAAAGCAAAACTGGGAACACCTTCAAATATGCCCCCCAACTTTCCTTATATCTCTTCTCCGTCAGTGTCTCCTCCCACTCCCGAACCTCTCCACAAGGTGTATGAGGAGAAAACCAAGCTGCCTTCCTCCGTGGAGGTAAAGAAGAAGTTGAAAAAGGAACTAAAGACTAAAATGAAAAAGAAAGAAAAGCAGAGAGATAGGGAGAGGGAAAAAGACAAGAACAAGGACAAAAGTAAGGAGAAGGATAAAGTGAAAGAGAAAGAGAAAGACAAGGAAACTGGCAGGGAAACAAAGTATCCCTGGAAGGAATTTCTTAAAGAGGAAGAGGCAGATCCCTACAAGTTTAAAATCAAAGAATTTGAAGATGTTGATCCCAAAGTGAAATTGAAAGATGGACTTGTGAGGAAGGAGAAAGAGAAGCATAAAGATAAGAAGAAAGATAGAGAGAAAGGCAAGAAAGATAAAGATAAGAGAGAGAAAGAAAAAGTGAAAGATAAAGGCAGAGAAGATAAGATGAAAGCCCCAGCACCCCCACTGGTGTTGCCCCCAAAAGAGTTGGCCCTGCCCTTGTTCAGCCCTGCCACAGCCTCCAGGGTCCCAGCCATGCTGCCATCTTTGTTGCCAGTGCTTCCGGAAAAACTGTTTGAGGAGAAAGAGAAGGTGAAGGAGAAAGAAAAGAAAAAGGACAAAAAGGAGAAGAAGAAAAAGAAGGAAAAAGAGAAGGAGAAGAAGGAGAAGGAAAGAGAGAAAGAGAAGAGAGAGCGAGAGAAGAGAGAAAAAGAGAAGGAGAAACACAAGCATGAAAAAGTAAGCAGTTTCTCATTTTTGGCCCTATCTGAACAGAGTCCTAGTGAGAAACACAGGTAAACAAAGCCCACAATTATATCTGTATTCTGGGTGTAAATCACCCATCACTTAAGTGGAAATATGTTTATAATGAGGTTACAAAATTTGATTTTAATTCTAAAACCCATAAACCTGTAATCAAGCCCTCAACACACTAGCAGATGTTAAAAATTCATAGCCTAAGAGGCATCTAATCACAGACTATAAACTCTCTATTAGCTATAGTGATCTCTGGCAGCTTAAAAAAAACAAATCTGGGTTCTTAAATTGTGAATAATATTTATGTGAATTATCAAGTGTACTGCATTATATTTTGCACCCATATATTGAGAAAGGCAGCATCCATGTTTCTAAAAGCATGCAAAACCACGGCACTATTTTAAGAGGACAGCAAGGCCCGTGGAAGGACCACTGCCTTGGTTTTCTTTTTGGTGCGCCATTTTGGCATGTGTTTAGGATTATGCCTGTCTACAGAACTTTCCGTAGCATCTTTTATTCCTTCCGTTTTCTGCTTTAATAAGATAAGGGCACATTTCTGAGTATCTAGGCTGATCTGGCAGCCTGGTGAGTGGGCAGAAAGTAATCCCACATGGCAGAAATGTTTGACCATCTCAGTAAGTCAGACTTCATTTCATAGCATACAGCCCGACAAACTGATAGAAACCCCGCAGTTTTGTAGGCATTGGGGCCTCAGTCCTCAGGCTGTGACCTCTGCTTACCCAGCTTTGCTTTTCAGTCTGTGGTTTCTTGGATTACAGCAGCCGGCTGGGTTATTTGAAAATTTCTCATAAACTTTCCGAAAAAGTATCTCTTCATAGTGCCACCCCAGAGCTCCTGATGATCCTTTCCCTGCCCTCTAAAAGTTATCTTCTTTGAGCTTGGCCACAAAATAATACCCAGTAGTTTTGTTCATATGATAAAATTTGATGTATTTGACCTGCAGCAGATATATTACCAATAAATTCGGAGTATTTTTAACTTCAAACTTACCTAGAAAACTGAGTGTATTTGACAGCAGTAATGGCAACTCCCATTTTTCGCCTACCTTGATTTGTTCTTTGTTCTCTTTGGCTATCCTAAAATATAAAAAAGTGAAATGGGAATTCTGATATCAATAACTGAACATTGACAAGTTAACAAGACACAGAAATCCAACTCTTATTTCCATTTAAAAAATCATTTTATTTATTATTATGCAATTTCTATATAGTAGTTGTCAGGTTTTAAAGCAGATCCATACACCTTGTTTTCTCCTCCTAACACACCTGTGACATAGGTCCAGCAGGTATTATCATCGATATTTATGGAAGAGAAACTGAGCCTGAGAGAGTGACTTGTCCAAGATCAGGATGACACAGCTAGCAAGAGCCAGGTCAGTTACACTGCAGAGAGACTTCACGTGGTGAGGGGTTTGTTGTTAGAGATACTGCCTGACAGCAGTTAGTCATTTATCCCTTGTGTACCTAGTAAGTTGGCAGCTGAGCCCTCAGTAAATCAAACAGGGGACTGTTCCTGTCACCACCATCTTCACTTTGGAAAGTCAGTGGAGTTGTTTCAACAGCCATTATGAATTTGAGTGAAGCCATCAGATTAGGTTTGTAACAGCAGTCCCATGCCTTTCTACAGCATCTACCTGACTTTAGGGAAGAAAAGTCCCCCAGACCACCTTGGTGGAAGGCAAAGGCTCAGTCCCTCGAAGCACAGAGTCCACCTGAGAGAAAGATACATGTTCTTGGATCAGTTTTGCTGGGCTATGGAGCAGGTACATGGCAAAAGATAAAAATGTAGAAAATTCAGCTATCTTATAAGACCTTTATAAATAATAAATAGTAATGTCTATAGAATTAGACCTGAGTTCAGATCCTGACTTTTGTAAAATGGGTAAGTCATTTATATAAGGATTAAATGAGAACATACAAGGTGTGCTTAGTACCGTATCTGACGCATAAATGTCAGTAGATGGAGAGAGTGTTCCATTCTGAATCAAACTATAAAATGTAGGAACCTGGAGATTGCTGCTCCATTGGACCATATCAGCTAGCCTGTGTTAATATGGGCAGGTCAGCTATTAATAGGTTTTAAAAATTATTCTACTTCCTTGGCATTCTTTGGAATATTAGCCCTTGATACAAATAGGAAAGGATAAAGGTTAGGACAACCCAGGGAAATGCCATTGATAAGGAGTAGAAATTGGGATAGTAACATAAATGTTAAGACTTCCCTTTCTTCAACCCCGTTTAAATCCCCCAAGCACCACAGCATATGAGTAAACAAAAATACACCTGAAATGCGGTTCCATATGGTCCGAGAATTTTCCTACAAATCTACAGAAGTAAGGCACCAAAGGTTAAACTAAAGTGAGACATATCTGCTCACTTTATGTGAGCAGCTTTATGTAAGGCACCAAAGGTTAAACTAAAGTGAGACAAGCTGCCCCAAGAAAATGTTTTCAGCCAAAAGAATGAAGGCCACAATCTCATTTTCCCTTCTCATCATCCTGACCAAGAGCAACTCTCCCAGACACTGACCCAGATCGGCAAGCAAGAGCATTTGTTTAAATTTTTCAATCTCCACATTTATTTTACCTGCTTATAAAGCTGATACCAAGAACCAATAAAGATGTGATTAATTAAAACGGAATTTGCATGGTAGGTAGAAGGAGCTTTGGGCTTTGGAATCCAGCAGACCTGGAATAAGATCCAGGACAAGTTTTTTAGCTTCTTTAATCCTTAAGTATTTCATCTTTAGAAATAATGATAAGAACACTAAAAACAGCAAAACAGTCATAGTTAACAGTGAGTAATTACTATGTGCCAAACACCATGCTAAGCACTTTAATTCCTTACCACAACCCTCTAAGATAGATGCTGTAATTATTATCACTTTAAGATGAGAAACTAAGGCTTAGAGAGATTAGTAGACTTGCCCAAGATCACACATCTAGTAAGTGATTGAACAGGAGCCAAAATTTCAATCCAGGCTGTCAGATGCTATAATTTATGGTCCTCACTACCACACTTTTCTATATTATGTTAAAATGGGATAAGTGAAATCACTTGGTTGGTAACTCACCATAAGAAGTTCAAATTGTTTTTCTATTAGTGATGATAAATCCAGAGAGTGGTGAGTTGTGCAAGCTTTTAGTTCCCCTTCGTGGGCAGTCAGACACCTAGTCAGGGTTGGGACTCTAGACTGTCACTTATTTAAAATAGAACCACATTAACTTTTTATAAAACACATGTTAATGGCCAGGTGCAGTGGCTCATGCTCCCAATAGTTTAGGAGGCCAAGGCAGGAGGATTACTTGAGGCCAGGAATTTGAGACCAGCCCAGGCAACATAGTGAGACTGTCTCTCCAAAACAAACAAACAAACAAACAAACAAACAAAAACCTATTTTTTAAATTAACTAGGCATGGTGTTGCACATCTGGAGTCTCAGCTGCTTGGGAGGCTAAGGCGGGAGGATAGCACCACTGCACTTCAGCTTGGGCAACAGAGTGAGACCCTGTCTTAAAAAAAAAAGACATGTTAAGAGCACTTATATTATCCAATTGCAGTCACAGCCATAATAGTTGTAGCAGTGATAAATCTAACATTACATTTCAGAACAGTTTAAAATTGCTATTAATACTGTCACATTTGGGATTAAGTACAATTTTTAAAAATGTTTTATTAAAATTTTGGTTTCTGTGTGGGTTGGTGTATATATTGCATGGATCTTTGGGGTTTAGATGAGTATACAGGATTACTTTAATTACAATTCCCTCTTGTTCTTTTAAGTGATTTTTGGAGGGAGGATCATTTTGAAAAAATAAATGCATTTTTAAATTTATGTTAGTGGAACTGGATGGTTATACCTATATTCTTAAATAGAAAGTAAGCCAAAATCCATCTGTCAAAGTGGGGGATCTGTTTTTACATTCGAATATGATCTGGAAAGGCACAGTAGAGTTTCACCCCAAAAATGCTGACATCACCCACCATCTGTAGATAAGTAAGTCCAGTGCTGGCTGAGGGAGCATGGCTTTGGCAGCCACACTGACCGGGGTGGAAATTCCAGCTCTGCCACTTACTCGTTATTCACCAACCTCCCATCCTCGCAGACCCTCTGCTTCCTTCCTCCGTCTCCTTCCTCCCATTCAAAACTAGGAAGAGACAGCAGCATTCTAAAGTTTAACTTATCTCTGCTTAAAAACAGTAGTTTCATACCTTCTCGAAGAATATTCTGGCTTCAGAGGCTTTCTCTTCTGCCTTCTCTTAGAAAACAATAAATGAAGAGCAGTTTGTGTCATTTAATTAAGATAAGTAGAGGACTACAACAGTTCCTGAATTTTCATACACATATCCAATAGTGTTGATGATCAACCCCTGCATAATTGGGAGTTGTCGACAATGGAAAGCCCATAAATTCTAGAAAGGATTCTCAACATTTTTTATCCTGTTGATTGAGGAATTGTTTTATTTGAACTTTGGCTACTGAATAAACTAACTCGATAGTCAACAGTGTTAGCATCTACCACCTCTTGAGTGCCTACAGGTTCCAGGCCTTGCCAGAATTCAATGATTTAATTCTCCCAACAGCTCTGAGGGTTTGGTATAGTGGTTCCTGTTTTACAGTTGAGAAAACTGCACAGAAAGGTCGAGTACCTTGCTGTAGCCAGTGAGGGGAGGGGGCCCAGGCCTGTCTGCCCGAGGCCTGTGTTGTTTACTGCCCAGAATGGCCTTCTCAGCCACTTACCTCAGTCTGCTTTGGTGACCTAAGTGACAAATGCAAATGAGGGGGATAGGAATGGTTTGATGCTTGATGGCAAGGGCACATCATGATTTTATAAAATGTTAGTTCCTGGAGATACCTTAGAGAGCACCTGTTTAACCGCCATATTTTAAAGAGCAGGAAAGGGATATCCTTTACACTTTGATGACTTTAGCAATCAGAACAATTAAAAATTTTAATGTTTCTTTATCCCCAAGTCCTGTAGGATTTGCCCCCAAATAATCTTTTATTAAATTTAAACGGTTTGTTCTTTAGAGAATGATAAATCATCTAATTGGTTTGTACCTTTAAGGAAGGGTTTTCATCCTTTTCCTCTTTTGTTTAAAGTAATGTAGTCTCATTCCAAGTCTTTTCTCATCAGCTATTGTAATTAATTCGTGAAATGAAGGGTTTTTTTTGTAAATAAACCCAATAAAGGGGAGGGAAATGTTTCCTTCCTGTTTCTCATAACTGTATGTTCCAAGAGAAAACAAGAAACTTAATGTTTAAATGAGTATATTTAAATTTGTAGTTCACCCAAGGCCAGCTCCCAGCCTTTCTGACTCTACACTCTGAGCACGGACGGGAAAGCTCATATTCTGTCTCAGCTGTCTACATGGGGTGGCACTTGTTATACTTAACCACAACTGCACATCTTCTGACTCTCTGTTTAATATTTTAAATAGTTATCAGAGTTTACTTAGACTGTGTTTCTAAATGGAAATAATGTAAAGACCTTAATTGCTGAGAAATACAAGATGGTTACAGCCATAGTTCAGCATCCAAATGTTAGGTTATTCTGTTGAGCTTTCATCAGTACTATTTGTGAGTTTTTTTCTAACATACCGGCATAGATGGGAATCTGAACTAGCGCTTGCTAAATTTGCTGCTACCCTAGCTAGTATACATATATGGTGTTTTTTTTTTTTTTTAATGAAAGGAGTTTAACATTAAAAGAATAAAAAAATAAAAAACCTTGGACAGATTATATTGACAAAGCTGCCCATTACCTTTGCAGAAAGTCCCTGTCAAAAGATAAACTTTAAAGCTGGAATGCATGAAAGAGTTCCAAGATAGAATTTAAATTTGAACTGATTCTTTATAGATAAGCTTTTTAAAAATCCACCTCTTTGCTTCAAGTCAGGATTTTAAAAATAAATTTCCCCTTTAAATCTCTTGAGCGATTTTCATTTTTTGCAAGGCCGCACTGCTGGTGTCCTGGAAAAATGGAGAGTTAGAGCTTTATCAGTTGGTGCCCTGAGGTGTGTGGCGAAGAAGCTAAATCCTTGAAGATTAACAAAAAAAATGCAGCACATGGCAATAAGGGGCTTATATGACTACTAGTATTAGTTCAGGTGAAAGAAGTATTGCTTCTACATAAAACTGGACAAATCCACTGACAATGTATTTTTAGTTACCTACAAAGGAGTCTTATATTGCTGGACTTTACCTCTTTGGTGAATTGGGAAGCTTAGTAATCCACTGTAAATGCTCTTCTGTGTGCCCCAATTCTCAGCATTACTCCAAAGTGCTGTTCTTTTATTTTAACCCTTAAAAGCTCATCGTGGCCCCAGATTTTGGCTTGATGCCATTAAAAGATGGCATTAGTCATGTTGTCTAAGTGATTGAAGTCATCCTTTTGTTTGTTGTTTTTGGTAAGTGCATGTGAGAAATTATTTTATGATTGTAGGAAATGCCTCTGTTTTTATTTTGGTGAGCACACAGATAAAGTTAATGGAAACAAAAATCCGGGAAGAAATTTTAATTTCGAAATTGTACTTTCTGTATGTATATTATTAGCATCCTCATTAATCTTTTTCTACAATCCCTTGAATTTTCTCAAGTTAAATCTAATTTAACTTGTTTTTAGGAATGAAATAAAAGTATTTAAGTAGTTTTTAGATATATCCTGGTTTGCCTGGGACAATCCCAGTTATGTGGTATAATTAATAGCTCCCTCTTTTCCTGTCAGAGGCATCTGTGTTTAGATGATACAAACACTGTAATTACAGATGAAACTTTGAGCCGAGATAGCAGGTTGTGAATCATTCATTAATTCAACCAGTTGACTGAATACCTGTTGCCTTCCGGGCACATTTATACCATTTTAAATCTCACTTATGTGTTTCCACTTTTGTTTACTTAATTTTTACATATTGTATTATTTAGGGTTTTTTTATAGTAGATAATAAACAGACCATTTCTTGATTCCTTTGTCCTGCCAAGCCATTTAAGACAGCGTTGAAAACCCAGCTAGTTTGGTTGAGTGAAGGTGGGGCCAAGGTTAATGTCAGTTTCCATATAAACTAGTTAGCCTCCCATGGAGAACAAAATTTACAACTAACCCCAGCCATCTCACAAATATTTATCATAAGAGATATTGACAAATAAAGTGAATAGCTCCATGTAAGCCATCAATATTACCAGAAAAAGGACTCACAATGTGCGTCAGAGAGTTAAGGAGCAGTAGGGTGAACAGGGGATGAATTTGGTGTCAGGAGACCTGGATTTAGGCCATTTACTTACTAACTTTGTAACTCTAGGTAAAGCACTTACTCCTTCTGAGCTCTTACATGGGAATAACACCATCCACACCTACCCTATAGAGTTGTGAAGATAGAGTTGAATAATGTAAATAGGACACAGTTCACCAAGTGCTATACAAGTGTAAGTTATCATTATTGGGTGTTATGGTAATAAAAATGGGCCAAACACACAACTCAATAATAGTAGAGCAGAATTTTTTTAAAGGTAGGTCAAACAGCTTTATTTTAAAATCGAGCTTAAGAAAAGGTTATTGGAATGCGTACATGCTAGTGTTGTCAGTTGAAGAAATAAGAAATATCACTTCTAATACCTCATCACTGATGACTGTGTAACCCTAAAATTGTTAGAGTTGAAGAATATAAGAACTTCATATAATTTTTCATTCTCTGAATCAAAAAGACTGCATTCCGTCTCAGTTTTGCTATTTGTGTGACCTCAGAAGAGAAAAGGAAAACAAAATGGAAAAGAAAGGAAAAATGGTTTCTCCATATATGATCAGTTTACCTGTAAAATGAAACCCACATTATCTACCCTACATGTTTGTTTTTTAAAAACCTTAATGAGCACATTGGGAATATAACCAAGCACAATGCCTGGCAAATTATAGGTAGCTTGTAAATGTTTGTTTATTTTTGTTATATTTGTTTATTCTTCCACAGATAACACAGAAAGATGAGGAAGTCTTAAATAGTTCATAAGACTGGACCATTTGTTTTCAGATTTGTTTAGATATAAAACTCTTCATTTAAAAAATATATTGGAGACAGCCAGGCACGGTGGCTCACGCCTGTTATCCCAGCACTTTGGGAGGCTGAGGCAGGCAGATCACGAGATCAGGAGTTTGAGACCACCCTAGCCAGCATGGTGAAACCCTGTCTCTAATACAAATACAAAAAGTAGCCGGGCATGGTGGCATGCACCTGTAATCCCAGCTACTCGGGAGGCTGAGGCAGGAGAATCACTTAAACCCAGGAGGTGTAGGTTGTGGTGAGCCAAGAACGTGCCACTGATCTCCAGCCTGGGCGACAGAGTGAGATTCCTTCTGAAACATACACACACACACACACACACACACACACACACACACACAAACACACACACGAGACTTGAATGCTAACTAGTTATGCAAGGGTCTTGCTCCACCCGCCACCCATCCCCCTCATGACCCTTGACCCTGGACCATACTGTCTGCAGGACCAGGTAAATGAAGGAGACATCAGCCAAGAGTGATGTTGGCTAGGGGGAAGGGGCGGTTTGTGGGCAAGTTGATACGTTAAGATTTCAGTGTGATGAGATGAAATACTTATAGGTTATTTAGTTGAAAATGTTGAATAGGCATCTTCATATTTTGGCCTTAGTGTCAATCAGTGCTAATCCAGACCAAAATTTTGAAGACGTATTTTAAACTTACTTTCGAAACTGTGGGCAGGGATGAGATCACTAAAGAAACTGTAGCATGACAAGAGGAGAGGGCCAAGTAAGGTTGGGTGAAAGAAGAGGAGTTTGTAAAGGAGAAGGAAGGAGCATGAGAAGACCTATAATGGGAAAACTGGGACATGAGGACATTGGCAAGGGTTGAGGAATGAAGAAGAAGTGAGAAAACAGACAATGAAGTGAAGATTGAAATGTGTGAGAAATTGTTAGCTAGAGGTTGAAGAGAAGTTAAGAAAATGTTTAAGATGGAGTGGAGCACATTTAAAAGTGAGATGAAGGCCGGGCACAGTGGCTCACACCCGTAATCCCAGCACTTTGGGAGGTCGAGGCGGGCGGATCACGAGGTCAGGAGATCGAGACCACCCTGGCCAACACGGTGAAACCCCGTCTCTACTAAAAATACAAAAATTAGCCAGGCATGGTGGCAGCTGCCTGTAATCCCAGCTACTCTGGAGGCTGAGGCAGGAGAATCTCTTGAACCTGGGAGTTGGAGGTTGCAGTGAGCCAAGATTGCCACTGCACTCCAGCCTGGCAACAGAACAAGACTCTGTCTCAAAAAAAAAAAAAAAAAAAAAAGAGTGAGATGAAAATAATTCGTGGAACAGAAAGACTGAAGATACTGTAAATAAGCAGATGATAGAGAAAGCTTCTTTAGAAGACAGCAGGAGACAGATGCTAGTGTAATTGTGGGCACAGAGAAGTTTGTAGGGAATTGACAGAGCTCTCCTTCAATACTGGTGGCCTCACCGGTATTTCCTGTGGAGTTAGATGTGTAGAAGGGGAAAGAAGGTCATGGGAAGAGTCTTGAAAGTGCTAAAGATTGAAATCATTGCTTCATATTCATGCTTTACACTTATCTTAAGACTTACTAGGGTCAGATCCTGAAACAGGCACTAGAAAATAGCAGTAAGCAAAACGCGCATGGTCCCTGCCCTTAGCTGGGTTAGCTGGTAAACAGCTAGTATTGGAGGCATACATGAAGCTGGAATTAAAAATGTTCTTTGGCATCACTCGGTGCTCTAGGGGATGGTTTTAGGTTGGTCCTGGATGTATGGTGGAATAACTAAGAGGTAAAAGGGTTGGGGCAAGATAAGTTGATAATTCAACAAATGTCTGCCGAGCATCTCCTGCATGCAGGCATCATGCAAGGGAGCTGTCGAAGCAGTAGATCTTGATGGGCTGAGGGATTTGAAAAACAACTCTAGGAAGAGACAGATAAATACATGAGAGAAAATAATAGATTTGATCTACATGTACTATATTAACTTTATGATATGTTGATCATTATTTTATGTGTTCCCCTTTAGAACCACTATACTGTTCAATTATGATGTAATTCATGAGCTTGAAATACATAAATTAATGTTGCAGCTAGTCAGTGACTAACAGTAAACCAGTGACATTAAACATCTGGCAGTGCTTGGGACAGTGCCTTACAACAAAGAACCATCCCACCAAAAATACCAATCCTACAGCCCCACCGAAAGACTTGGAGATAGACAGTAATTTGGAAATGCAGAGCTTTTGTTTAGCTTGTTAATTCAAAATGTTGATTATATGATCTGCAAACCAACAATTGTGAAGAGACCCTTTAACATCAGACTTAGTTTCTGTGTTCTCTTCTGACGAACAGGTCAGATCTTTCTGAGGTCTTTATCTTATTTGGCAGCCATTGCCTTCACCACAAATCCATTCCAAAAGAGAATATCTGTTTTCGTTTTCTTTCTTTTTTCTTTTTTTTTTTTTTTAAGATGGAGTCTTGCTCTGTCACCCAGGGTGGAGTGCAGTGGCACAATCTCAGCTCACTGCAACCTCCACCTCCTGAGTTCAAGCGATTCTCCTGCCTCAGCCTCTTGAGTAGATGGGACTACAGGCACCCGCCACCATGACTGGCTAATTTTTTTTTTTTTTTTTTTGAGACGGAGTCTCGCTGTGTTGCCCAGGCTGGAGTGCACTGGCATGATCTCGGCTCACTGTAAGCTCCGCCTCCCGGGTTCACACCATTTTCCTGCCTCAGCCTCCTGAGTAGCTGGGACTACAGGCGCCCGCCACCACGCCCAGCTAATTTTTTGTATTTTTAGTTTCACCATGTTGGCCAAACTGATCTCGAATTCCTGACCTCATGACGCCTGCCTCAGGCCTCCCAAGGTGCTGAGATTACAGACATGAGCCACCACACCCTGCTTGTTTTTGTTTTCTTTTACAGCATTTCAGATTGTTTTACCCCTAGCCAAAAATTGAACAGTTGAATGGTACAATTACACTTAGTATTTCAACTTTCTCATTTGATAACGCAAACTTAAGATGAGTTTAATGTTTGTCAAGTTCCATAAACAGATGCTTTTATCTTATAGGGAAGACATCATCGCAGTTTTTTCTATTTATATTAAGTCTGGTAATTATTTAAATGCTCCACCAGAAATGATCTAGGTAACAATTTTTGTTTAAAAATTTTAACAATATAATTAAGTCCAAAAGTTAACCCAAACAAATAGAAATAACTACCATATTTATATAGCATGATTAAAGTTTGCAGAATTTCTCATGATGCCAGGTAGCCTTCAGTTGTACAGAATGGCCCAGATTGTCTTTCTGTCTAAATTTTAGCCATATTTAAGGCTTCAACTTTTTAACTCAGTTTGTGAGAGTGGGAGAGTAGGAGAAGTGGTAGGAGGTACTTTTGTTGAAAAACCATATTGAACTTTAATGTGCTAACTTCCACAGATAAAAGTGGAACCAGTCGCTCTGGCCCCGAGTCCAGTTATCCCCAGATTAACTCTCCGAGTCGGTGCTGGCCAAGACAAGATGTAAGTATAAACGTTTTGAATCAGGGTGAAACAAATGAAATTTAACCTTCTCTACTCTTTCCTAAGGGACTTAGAATTCCACAAGCTTCTCCCAGGTATGAACCTGTAGGGTCAAGCTTTATTTTTAGAACTCTTCGTTTTCAAGTTTTTATTGGTTTCTTTCACAGAGTAAATGCTTTTTGCTTTATTTGACGTAAAGGATTTTTTTTTTCTTGTTCTTTTTCTCTTTTTTAAAGACTAGCACCTGACATTATTTCTGCATAGTCTTTAAGGTCCCACTTATCTGAAAAATAAGAAACTCTGTACTGAATGGACTTACTGCCACATTACACCCAGGTGGATGCAATGTTACACTTTCCCAAGTACATAGTATCTGTCACCATGACAAAGAACAAAGATTCTCTTTTTGCTCAGATGGCACATGGTTTTATTCTGTACCTGTAAAACAAAGAAATGCCAAAGGCTTGGAGAGACAGTATGTAATAGTCACAACTGATGACTTAGTCCACTTTTTTTTAAGGAAGCCCTAGAAATGCAAACCCCACGTTTGCTGTTTATTTGTCTTAATTTTCATGGAATCATCATATCAACCCACTCGTCTTTACAGTTAATCTGTTGGATATTTTTCTTTTATTCATTTTTTGGGGAAGCATTAAGGCCTACAGTACTCTTACCTGATCCTAATAAGATAATGAAACATTGATTTTTTTTTTTGGAACTCATGTTGAAAATCATTCCCCTTGTTCTAAAAGCATATTATGCATCATTTAAATAAAATACACAAGATAAAAATTCTACAACCTTACTTTTCCCATTAAGCCTGAAAATGCAGTTTACATTGCAATCAAATATTGTGTTGAAAATAGGCTTACAAGGCATTCCATTTACATTCAATTTTTAGCCATAAAAGTGAGAGTAGGAGCCATGAATTTATTTAGTAGAGAGGACAGAAAATTTGCTTTGTATTCTCAGTGGTTCATTTCATCTTAAAAGTTACATGTATTGATACTGTTGCTTCTGTCAGTTCCACGTGTAGTGCAAAGAAAAAGTCCAGCATGATTCTGATGAATGTGAGCAGAGAGGCAACTTGGTTTTCCAGGGGAGTGTATACCCCTCTGAAGATTTAAAGGAGAAAATCTGATGGCTTCTGTTTTTCTCACCTAAATTCTCTGGATAATTTCCACATTACTCTTTTCGGTTGTGCCAGTAGAGACCTAGGAAATGCAGCAAAAATCCTGTGGATTCAGTGCTTTTGAAACCAGCTATCTGGTATACCTAATGCCCCTATCTTACCTACAGAAGCATGAAGAATGTCCTCATCCCTTAACCAGTAGAGCTTAGAGAAGACCCAACCAAAGTAAATCTTCCATCTCCATGCAAATTCTGCATATGGGCTCATTTCTCTAAGAGGAAGATGTTGTTATCCATCATTCAACAAGTACTTTTCTCCTGCAGTTTATATTTATTCCCATGTCTCAGTAACTCACCATTACTTAATCTTGACTCCCACACAGAAGTTTGGCTTGCTCATACCCTTTAGAGGAATAAGATTTGTTAAAAGGCATTGAAAAGCCAGGTATGGTAGGCCATGCCTGTAGTCCCAGTTACTTGGGAGGCTGAGGCAGGAAGATCACTTGAGGCCAGGAGTTCAAGGCTGCAGTGAGCTATGATCGTGCCCACTGCACTCCAGCCTGGGCAACAGAGCCAGATCCTGTCTCTAAAAATAAAAAATAAAAGGCAGCCAGATGCGGTGGCTCACGCCTGTAATCCCAGCACTTTGGGAGGCCGAGGCAGGTGGATCACAAGGTCAGGAGATCGAGACCATCCTGTCTAACACGGTGAAACCCCTTCTCTACTAAAAATACAAAAAATTAGCCAGGTGTGGTGGCAGGTGCCTGTAGTCCCAGCTACTTGGGAGGCTGAGGCAGGAGAATGGCATGAACCTGGGAGGCGGAGCTTTCTGTGAGCTGAGATCGCGCCACTGAACTCCAGCCTGGGCAACAGAACAAGTCTCTGTCTCAAAAAATGAAAAAAAAATGAAAAAAAAAAAAAAGGCATTGATAGTTATATTCAACTCACCTGCCTTTAAGCATCTTTCAGTCATTCTGTTGATTATTTATTCTGTTTTCCCCCTCAATAAATCACTCATACACCTGAGATATTGAAAGATATGAGAAATCCTATTTGGAACAGAATGTCTAGTATCACGGAAATTATAACACCCAGGTATTCTAGACAAATTGCCCTTGAAAGCATATTATATATCATGTAAACTTTCAGATATGTAGGTAATGACTGCCATGTTATATGAAGGATTAATCATTTGACCAAAGGCAGATGCAAGAAAATCCTTATAATGAACAAAGAGATAAATGAAGTGAAATAGATTACATTTTAAATTAAAATAGAGCGAGAAAGAAAGAGGACTAAATCTAATAGTAATAGAATTTTATGTAAAATAAAACTTATTCAGTAAAGTGCTTTTTGTGGGGTGGGGTGGTGGGGTGGGGGGTGGTTCTAAATCAGGGGTCAGCAAATTATGGGCCAAATCCAGGCCACTGCCTGTTTTCTGTGACCTGAAAGTTAAGAATGTGTTTTATATTTCTTAGTGGCTGGAAAAAAATTAAAAGAAGAATGTATTATGACACATGAAAATATGTAACATTCAAATTTCAGTGATCCTCCGTGGTTGTAGCATGATACATGGCTTAGTCCATGGTGATAATGGGGAGGGAGGTGACAGATTCCTGTCACTGTGCCTGTGGTTACCCAGTTTGCACACACCTTGGGGGGGAATAATACTCTTTTGAAGTGAAATTAATGAGCAGACTGGGATTCAAAAGGGGGAGTTTGAATAGTCCAGGGGGGTATTTATTGCTGAAGAACAGGCAGAATCATCTTTTGAAATTAGGAAAAACGAAAAAGCTTTACAGGGTTCAAATTATACCTTCTAGTTGGAAGATCTTTAAGACAGTATTTACTTTCTGAGTCTTAAATAAAGCAGTTATGTCTTCTGCCCTTGATCCAGAAAAGTACTTTGAGCTTGGATTGTTTCCTGTGTTCCCTATTATTGTTCCTTGAAGCAAGACAGGAATAACTTGTTTTTCCCTTGATTTAACATTCCTGGAAACTGTATTCTAAAGGAGTCAATGGTGAGTCCAGGACCTCCTCCTGATAGTGTTAAAATTCAAGATGACTTTCCAAGGACCTCAGATTCCTTTAACAGATCTTCCAGTAATGGGTGTCCAGAGTTCCCTGTAGTCTATATTGAAGATAAAACCAAAACCTAACCCTGAAATTACAGTCTCAACACCTAGAGACAACATATCCAAGTGAATTGCTGAAATATCTGGTCCAGCCTAGCAGAAGCCTTGCCTTGATGCTGGGATAGCAAGTAAGTTTCAGCTTGCCTCAGAGCCACTGCCTGCAACTCTGTTGATGGGATCCTGAGGTCCCACTTGGACTTGGGGCTGGGAGCAGGGTGAGTGTGACAGCCACCATGGAGGCCAGGGCAGGTGGCAAAGCAGGCACCAGGTTATTTGTCCTCCCCATCTTACTGTGTATTGAGTTTGGTCATTTTGAGCAAATGTAGGTAGAATTGGCTAACTTACAGTGTTCATCCTTTTCCTCATTTCTGTCAAGAAAATAGGAGCAAGGTAATGTGATGGATTTTAGGGACAGGGGCTGTTTGGATGGAACTGTCAAGAAAGACTTGGCAGAATAGGGCCTGCAACTCTTCTATAAAGCTCAAATTCAGGTAAAGGAGCTTTGTGAGAAAAAGGTGAAACACTGGTAAAGTATTAACAAAAAATACAAATTTGCATAAAGATTTGGGGCTGAATATAGGGTAGAGGAATAAGCATTCTTCCCCTCAGATTTCTCAAACGTCTCTTTTGCTGCTGTCTTCTCCCAAGGACTGAAGAGGAAGCCTCCTCCCTCTTCCATCTATTCACCCACCCTTGCCCTCGGGCAGTGGGTCCCCCATGCCCAGGTCCATGGTGAGCAGCTCCTCCTCCTCCTGCTTTCAGAGCACTCCTGCCTTTATCAGCAAGCACCAGAGAAGGGGTGACTGGTTGGGCCCCTCTAGACATCCCATCATGCATGGTCATGTTTTCTCTAATAAATATCTCATAATATATTGGATCAGGTGATATTGGAACCATTTGAGATGCCTTTCAGAGAACAATATTATTATCAATGGTAATTCTAAATTCCCTTTGAGAGTTCACAGTAGGTATTCTGTTTAACAAATATAACTCCTTTTTCAAAATATACAAATTATGTCAAGATATTTTTCAGAAACCACTTTACCTCTGGCATTAGTTTTCTTTCTGCTGACATTTTGATTTCTGGTGGCAAGTGGATTGATTTCTTACAATTCAGTAACTTCATCATCAGCCCTCGTCCTAACAAAGGTGCTGAGAATGTGATGCTTTCCTTTACATGTCATTTACTTTTTTTTGTTGCATTTCACAGAGTTTAACTTAAGCCTTGTGGGGGCTTTTTAATACTTGTAATGTCTAAATTTTTTCTATATATAATGAAAATGAGAGCTAAAGCTTTGCTTGTTAATCTTTAAAATCAATATGTATAGACACTTGTCTTTGAGTGATCTAAACTTTTCCAGTTAATGCTTTTTGACAATAGTAGTGAAGAATAATCATGGGCAGTTACAAAAATAATCATTTAAAATATTTTTAAGGAAAATAAGCATTTTATATTTTAAAATATAGCCAGATTTAGCCAAATGACATTCAACAGAGTGAAGCTTGCAGTGGTATTTTAGTGAAACATTCTTTAGAGAAATAATAGTAAATGTTTTTTATCTCACTTTCTGAATTTTCCTTTCTATACTTGAAGTGCTTTTTATTCATATATAACTTTTTTCCTAGTCTAAACAAATTTAGGGGAAAGTAAAGAGAGTATATATAGTACAGTCGGAAATAGAAATAGATCTTCTTCCCTAAGATCAAGGGAAGAAAAAAGAAGCAAATGATTGTAGGTCAAATATGATCATACCTTCCTAGCAGTAAGGGCAAAAAAATACATTTTTAAAATTAATTTGTTTTTATTTATTTATCTTTTTTTTGAGACAGAGCCTCCCTCACTCTGTTGCCCAGGCCGGAGTGCAGTGGTGTGATCTCAGCTCACTGCAACCTCCACCTCCCGGGTTCAAGTGATTCTCCGGCCTAAGCCTCCCAGGTAGCTAGGATTTCAGGCATGTGCCACCATGCCCGGCTAATTTTTTGTAGTTTTAGTAGAGATGGGGTTTCACCATGTTGCCCAGACTGGTCTCAAACTCCTAACCTCCGGTGATCCACCTGCCTTGGCTTCCCAAAGTGCTGGGATTACAGGTGTGAGCAATCTTGCTTGACTGAAATACATTTTTTTTTAAAGGAAGGTGTTTCACTTTCTCAGGAGAGAGTTTTTCAAGGCAGTAAATTTAAAAATTAACTTCTATGTGGGAGCAGATGACAAAGATGGTGTCCTCCACAGCGGTTTTTATAGGTGACCCAAAGGCATTTTTTGTTGACTTTTGCACACTTTCCAAGAGGAAAGCATGAAAGAACAGCTCAGTGCTGACAGCTCTTAAGCACCTCTTCATCTCTAGTGGAAACACTCCTATTTCCTTTTCTGAACTGTGTTAATCAAGACTCTTGGTGGCAAGTAACAGAAATCCAAATCAAACCGTCTTAGAGGGGAAAACAGCAGGGGTGGATGTGACTTCGGCGGGGCCACCTGCAGGCTTGCCAAGTATCCTAGGGCTCTGCCCACCCTCCTCTTCTCATCTGGCCTCTGCGGTGGCAGAGGTGGTCCTGGCCACTCAGGCTGTTGTGATTCTTGGTGCTCACAGTCCCTGGCGAAGCCCCGCTTCCCGGGCCTCCGTTATCAGCCCCCGTGAAGGACTTCGCTTCAGCAGCCCCTGTGGTAGGGAGGCTGCCCTGTCAGAAGGGGAAGTGGTAGGTTCCAGAAGGAAAGGAGGGCTCACACCAGAATAAGGGGCAAGAGGCAGGCAAAGGCGATTTATATGTTTTATTGTAGTTAGGAAAAGGCTGTCAGTTTTGCATTTTTATAAAAGTGTCCTGGGGAGGCAGGGCAAAGAACCTGGTTGGTGTACAAAAGGATACTTTAGATGTAACGTTTGGGAACATTTCAGAACGTCATCCTGTCAGACTTGGAAGGCCTTTTGCTTTTCTGTTTTTAATATTTTCTTCCTAACAAAACTGTCTGCTTTTGATTTAAAAACAACAACAACAACACAAAAAAAGATTAAAGAATGTTGGAGTTTTATTTTTCCCTGATTAACTTGCTACAGAAACTGAAACATTTCATAGGTATTTTGCCTACGTTAAAAGCTAAACATCATGAGCTGGACGTAGTGGCGTGCACCTATACTCCCAGCTACTTGGGAGGCTGAGGCAAGAGGATTGATTGAGCCTGGGAACTCAAGGCTACAGTGAGCTGTCATTGCACTGCTGCACTCCAGCCTGGGGGACAGAGTGAGACCCTGTCTCTAAAACAATAAATAAATAAATAAATAAATAAATTTTTAAAAAGCAAAATAACAACAATGACAAAAAGAATTTTAAGAATGACTGGTGAAGTTCACAAGTGACATTTAACATTTTTAAATGACTGTATTTAAAATTTTCAAATGACCTATTTTTAATGCTAGGGAAAGATGCTAACATTACCAGTGAAATTCCTAGGCTCTGAACAACTGCAACAAAGGTTGTGAGTTTGATACGTCATTCTTGCTACCTTCCTGTACTTACAAATTCAGCAGTCCCAAACCCATAGATCTTCATCCCTTTTCTGATTTTTCCAGAAAAGGAGTTTTTGACTTCCTTATATTACTGTCTTATTTTTACCACCTAGAACAATGATATAGTCTCTAAATTTAGTTTTTACCCCGGCACAATACTGTTTATTCATTAACACCAAAGATGCAATATGTTTACTAGAAAAAAATAGTAAACTGTCAGAAAAACTGGCTTTAGGTTTTCAGAAATACTTTTACTGCACAGTAAAACAAGTGGAGAGATTATAATCAAAGCATTTCCATCTTACTTGTAAACAATTACAGCAGTTCTTACATAGATGCCGCATTAGAAGACTCAGGAAAATTTACTGGATTCCATTCTAATGCAATTAGAGCTAATTTTGTTCTTTAAATGAATAAAAGGTCAGCTAGTAAATCTAGCTTATCTTGAGTCCAGACTTCAATAAATTGTTTTATTTAATTTGTTGTAAAAGATCTTATCCTTAATGGGTCCAGGTCTTATTAGTTCCCTTAGGTTTTAAAATATTTATGACCACCTCTTTAGATATGATTTGAATGATAGTTGGAAACTTTCTCTCCGCAGTGTTATCAAGGTCCACGATCACTAATTGAGTGAATATAGGAAAGTACTTAAGATTCATTATCTAGAAAAAGCTGATGTGGACTTCCAGAATTTAAATGTTCCTTAACCTGTGACAGGCAGAGATAATTTAGCTGTATCATGGAAACCTTTTGGATGCTATCTGATTATAATTTCTCCTAAAGATCAAACTACTCACACTTCTGGCATTTAAAAAAAGAATATGTTTCCTACAGATGAAAACACTTAGGCACTCTTTATTACCAAGAACATGGAACGTTTCAATCCTTTGCATTCTGTTATTTCCTGTTATGTTATGGGCCTATACTGTGTTCAGATACTTACATAAAGATTGCAGCTGCATGGTGCAACATCTCTTCGCTTTTCCCACGCCTGCCTGCATAGCTTCTAGAGTGAATATCCACGTCACTGCAGGACTGCTGTCATTTAGAATATGCACAGTCTTTTTTAATGTGGTAGCCACAAGTCTCAGCATGTGGAACTGCCTCGCCATGTTACCCCAGCTGATTAGACTTGCCTTTTGGGTTCCAAACCTTCTTACATCCCCCACGGCTTGTCGTCCAGGCTCTAGGAAAGAGTATGTGTCTATGGTCAGCCCTCCTCAGCTGCTGGCCTCCATTCCTACCTTGCCTGCCCCGGCTGGAACTTCGTTCCCTCTCTTAGCTCCTCTCCTCTGTGTCTTCCTCTTCTTTTTTCTCATTTTTGTCCAGCCTTTCATTCTCCCATGCTAACCCTCCTCACCTTCATCAAGCCTTCCCTCTGTATGAGAAAAAGGCTATGTAACATCTGCTTTTCATGCTGCTTCTCAAAACTTATTCTTTAGTTTTACTTTCTTCTAATTGTTCACTCCTAAACCTTCTGTATTCTGGTTTCTGCCCTAGAAACTTTTCTACAGCTTCTTGTTAAGACCATTAGATGCTTCCCAATTCCCAGTTCCAGAGAACATGCAGCAGCTCTTATTGTACAAACCCGGTCTGCCGTTTGGACACTGTCCCCTAAGCCCTTTCAGAAACTTCCTGTTCCTTTGATTTTTGTGGTACTACGCTAGACTCAGTCTCTCATTCTCTCTCTCTTTTTTTTTTTTTTTTTTTTTGAGACGGAATCTCACTCTGTGGCCCAGGCTGAAGTGCAGTGGTGTGATCTTGGCTCACTGCAGCCTCCGCCTCCTGGGTTCAAGTGATTCTCCTGCCTTGGCCTCCCGAGTAGCTGGGACTATGGGCACCCGCCCCCACACCCAGCTAATTTTTGTATTTTTAGTAGAGACAGGGTTTCGCCTTGTTGGCCAGGCTGGCCTCAAACTCCTGACCTCATGTGATCCACCCACCTCGGCCTCCCAGAGTGCTGGGATTACAGGCATGAGCCCCCATGCCCAGCCTTTCATTCTCTCTTACCATGGATTCCTTTTGTTTTTCTTTTATGGACTTATTTTTTTTCCCCCTTCTTTTCTTTTTGCCCTTGGTACAGTAACTCTGTTTCTTCTTCGTAAATGTTCTCATTTTCTCTTTAGGTTTGTTATGCAATGATGATTCCCATTTCTTTATTACTAGCTCATATTTCTCCTTCAAGAGTCAGACTAATCTGCCAAGTTACTGGAAAGTTCTGCCTGGGTGAACCAGCAGCACCTCAAAAATAGCATTTCCAAAACTGAACCCAGCATTATTTCCGCCAGTGTGGTTCTTCTTCTTTTTCGTATATGTTGGTGATGAGACCAGTGCCTCCATTTTCAAGCCATTTTGGGCATTAGGGTAACTTGAATGGAGGCAAAAACTATCTAATAGAATTGGGAGATTTTCTTTATGTCATAATGTCAGACTGGGTGTCCTGAAAACAAAGATAAATGTCTTCTTAGCTCCAAAAGTTTCCCAAGCTGAACAAAACCAAGGAAAGGCCTTGTCCTAGAAGTCTCCTTTGATATTCACTTGGACTCTCAGCATCTTGTAACTTCCGCTCAGCATCTTCAAGCTTGGCTGTCTCCTCCTTGTCTAGACACAAATGGTCAGGTCAGTAGCAGCCAATGAGAGAAAGAAGTCCATATCCTTATTCACAGGGATCCATAACTCACCCCAAGCAAAGATACCTTCAGCTAAGAAACAGGGGAAAAAAGGATATGTAGCTAGGATTTTAATAAATGAAGATTACATAAGAAGATCTGAGAAGCAAAACACTTAAAAGTCTGATCAGGACATAATAGGCTTTCAAAGAACAGATTAACTGCTTCAAAATATGTAACCTAGAAAGCAGAAGTTTCCCCCACATCTCACCCTTCCCCCAGGTTAATCACTGCTGACTGTGCCGTGTGTATTTCAGCAATTTTTATAAAAACAAATTAGGGGCTGGACATGATGACTCACACCTATAATCCTAGCACTTTGGGAGGCCAAGGCAGGCAGATCACTTGAGCCCAGGAGTTCAAGACCAGCCTGGGCAACGTGACAAGATCCTGTCTCTACAAAAAATAGAAAAATTAGCCAGGTATGGTGGCATGTGCCTTTAGTCCCACGTACTCAGGAGGCTGAGGCTTCACTTGAGCCTGGGAAATCGAGGCTACAGTGAGTCGTGATCATGCCACTGCACACCAGCTTGGGCAATAGGAGTGAGAACCTGTCTCAAAAAAAAATAAAAAAAGAACTTAGAATTATCTTACACATACTGTTCAGCAGCTTATCCCCTCCCCTCTAACAGATCATGAACATTTTTCCATGTCTGTATGACATGGTATTTCATTTTACTGTTGTATCATCATTTATCTTGCCAGTCACCAGTTTTCAAACATTTAAGTTGTCAAAGGTTTTGCTATAACAAATAAAGAAACAACATCCTCATATATAGATTTTTGTTTATTCAGTGTTACTAGGTCAAAGAATGTAAACATTTAAAATGTTTAAGAGATTATTATGCCAAATTATCTTCTAAAAGGCTATACCAATTAAAATTCTCACCAGCCGTACATGAGGATGAAATGACCCTATATTTAAGAAGAATTAGTGAAATCCTATTGTTCTAAAATTGAGCAAGACTCTGGGCAACTAGTAGTGAATTTATATGAAAAGCTAGATCCATTCTTCTCCCTCGTGGGCCTGTGAGTTCATTTCATAGAAATCCTTTCTTCTTTGGGGGAAGCTATTGGTTGAAGAATAGTTAACATCTTTATTCAGGCTATTCCCAGATCTCTTCTGAAATCTGTAGGTCCTTGGTGCTGGCTCCGTCTCAGGTGAGTTTTTCTTCATTAAGTGCACTACTCATGTGAACATAATACTACAGAGAATTGCCTTCTCTGTGATAGTGTTTGTGCTTTGGAGTACATGTATCAAATTCATCTGTGAAGGAACCTGGGAAATATTATGAATTTAGTCATAATATTTATAAGTAACTTATGTTTGTAAGTAATGTTTATAAGTAACCAATTTTTAAAAACAGTTTTTAAGGCCAATATATTTGATGTTGTTACTGCTATTAAATCAAGGTTATCAGGGCTGGGTAGGGTAGCTCATGCCTATAATCCCAGCACTGCGGGAGGATCGCTTGAGGCTGGGAGTTTGAGAATAGTCTGGACAACATAGCAAGATCGTGTCTCTACAAAATATTAAAAAGATATCCGGGGCTGGGCACAGTGGCTCACGCTTATAATCCTAACACTTTGGGAGGCCAAGGCAAACAGATGAGTTGAAATCAGGAGTTCGAGACCAGCCTGGCCAACATGGTGAAACCCTGTTTCTACTAAAAATACAGAAATTACACCTGTTATCCCAGCTACTCAGGAGGTTGAGGCAGGAGAATCACTTGAACCCAGGAGGTAGAGGTTGCAGTGAGCCAAGATTGTGCCACTACATTTCAGACCTGGGCAACAGAGTGAGACCCTGTCTCAAAAAAAAAAAAAAAAAAAAAAAAAAAAAGAAGCCAGATATAATGGTGTGCACCTGTAGTCCCAGCCATTTGGAAAGCTAAGGCAGGAGGACCACTTGAGCCCAGGAGTTTGAGGCTACAGTGAGCTGTGATCACCACTGCACTCCAGCCTGGACAATAGAGTGAGATTCTGTCTCTCAGAAAAAAAAAAAAAAAAAAATCAAGATTATCAAGTAGGCATTTTCTTTGTTTTTTATTTTATTTATTTATTTTTTTATAGTACCCCTCTGTTTTGGAAATAAGTATCTATTATAAATCCCTGTGTAAAATGGTACATTGTTTGTACTTTGCACTTAAAAGTTTATTTTTATATAAATATCACAGTAAAAATTTTTTCTGTAAAAAAAATGTGTGTCCTATTTGTTGCCTGTTTTTTAGTCATTTTATAGATTCTTTCCTGGTGTTTTATAAAATATGTTTTATCAGACTTAGCTTTGCCCCAAGTGGTGGCAGGGCTGGTCTATTGTGAATTCAAAGCATGTGATCTACCAAGATTTCAACCCAGAGGAAATGGGCCTGGAAGTCCCAGAGCAAGCTCTCAGTGGGCCAGCTGAGATCACGTGACCAGCCTGAACCAATCACTGTGCCTGTGGAGACACGGTGGCTCTGATTGGCCTGGCTTATATGTGTTGCTTGGATCTAGAGGTAGGATAAAGCCCACTCAGGCCACATGGACAGAAAGAAGGAAGAGAGAGAGGGCTGAAGGCAGGGGCAAGGCAAATGGGTGCTGTGTAGAGACAGGCAAACCCAGCAGATGCCCTGAGCCTAGACCTCTGGTATGCTGAATGCTGGAAGCCATTGGGTTTACTTATATATATTTCACGGTGCTGAGAAACATCTGTTTGCATTATTTATTTGTGAATCATTCCTAATATAAATTGTGTTGCTGTTTTAAATTTCCTATGAAATACGTTTTTAAGTATCACGATATTGCGTAGTCAAATGTAATATTGTTTTTGCACATGGTTCTGTATACATCATAGATTCTAAATTAAAACTTTTGATAGAAATTACAAAATTTGTGTTACCTTACTGTATGGGCATATTTAAAAGCTAACATCCTAGTTTCTGGAGATTCTGATCTACCAATATTTCCCATGCTGAATCATAAGCTTCAGCATTTCTTTAACAATATCTCGGCGTTTGGTATAAAACCCTTTGACCCCAGATGCAGAGAATGATTGTTAGTTAGGTAAAAATGAGATGGTGACTGGTACTGGTCCATTGGCCAAAGTTTGGAGCATAATGTTCCTGGTATATGTATGTCAACTCTGGCTGTGATATCATATACTTACCTGGTTTTATTTTTATAACTTTGTACATGCATCTTGAATATAATATTTTTCTAAAGTTTATTATAATTAGAAGATCTTTAAAATTCCCTTTAAAATTATATTTTTTCTAAGAGACCCAGTTAAAATTAACTGTATCTATTTTTAAGAGATTGTTTTAGTTTCTAGTTTAGATTAACTAGTAGAGCACTTCTGGCTAATGTTTGATATTAGCCTGGTTTTGAATATATCTCTAATGTGTGTTATAACCCAACTGAGAAATGCTGCTTGATCTGTATATGAATACGTGAGTTCTGCTAAAACACTGAGGAACCTTGAGAGTCGCTAATGCCATTAGGGTTATTTGTTCTGAACGGAATGAACAGAATGAGTAAATCACAATTGTGAGTGGTAAATGGCCATGTTCTAGTTTTTTTTCTCATCAAACCATTTAAAGCCAAGTGAGCAAGGCAGAATGGCTGGCTACCTTTTTATTGTTTTTGTCATTTTGTTTATTTAGCTTATAATTTAATACAAGGAAATTTGTATCTGCTTTATATGGAGGCTGCCTTCAAAGTACGTGGTCAGGGTAAATTTTGAATGACCGCTACATCTTTTTTCTCGCCTTGCTAGCATGAACTGTTTTTCTGTATGCATGCATACATCTGTAAATCAGTACATGTGCTCTACTGTTATTATATAGTTTTAAAGAAAATACATTAAAAGAAGAAAAATGGCTCTTAAATAAGAAATGCATTTTAGATTGTCTGGCATTTGGCTGTTCTGCTTATTTGTGCTCCCTTTACATCTAAATTAAAACAATTCAGAGATTCCCCATCAGTTCAAAGGTCTCTGTAGGGCCTGTATTGTTGACATGGGTGGGAGTGGAGTGAAGAGGAAGAGGAGCACAGGAGGTGCGTTAGAGAGTCCTGCTCTGAGCCCTTATCCCATAGACCTCCTCACAGAAGACACCAGGCTGACTCACTGTCCTGCCTGCTTGTCATGTCCCTGCAGCTGAGGCTGGAAACTTCTCGAGCCCCTCTCCGTAGTCCTAGATGTTAGGGGCAGAACCTGGAGGAGACAGAGGGCTGGGACCCAAAGCAGCTCTCAGATGCCTTCAACCCTTTTAAGACCTTCAAGGTTAGGAGCTGCAGTGACCTTCTCTTTTCTTTTTTTTCTCTTTTGTAATGATCTTTCATGTGAATCTGAAGTCAGTGTAATAATTTCAGTCGTCTCGTCTTGCCTCAGAGAAAATTTTGGAAACTTTCTTATGTACATAGATACATACATATATATGTATAGATACACACACACACATATACATACATACACATCCGTATGCATGTATATATAATAAGTGTGTATGTGTGTGTGTGGTTTTGCTTCAAACTCCCTTGGACACCTTTTTTTAAAATTAATCTTCATAAAAATTATTTAAATTCTAAAGCAACTCAAATGATTATTCATTAAATAATTTATTAATGTTTTTGTAACTAATTTATTTCTTTGCAGTATGGAAAAACACATTATTTTATTTCATCTTATATTTTACAGTTACTATTGCACCATTGTTTTTTTTCCCAAACAAATTGTTAAAATCCTCTTCATTCTCATTTTGGAAGATCATTTGTTTATTAACAGAGATATAATATTAAACAGGCAATCTCAGAGCAGAATGACAGCACAAAGGTCAGGAGTGTGATATAGATTTATACACATACACACATGCATACATAAACATATATAGTCACTTCTTAGCCCACACAGATGAATATATGTATATGTATGTGTGTGTCTATATCACATGCTCTAAATAAGTATATATACACTATATTTTTTCCATCCTATTTACAAAGTACAATAAGAATTCATATAAAGCATGGTGATTTTGGTGAAGACCTAGCAGCTTTTTTGAATTTTAATATATTTTGAAGTGGTAATGTTGGATTTTCCAAGCATGACTTCAGTAATAACTGAATTTTATAACTCTCCAGTGAGATACAAATCTTAATCACAATCTTGTTCATTTTTCAAGTTCACTGCATATCATCTTATTACCTTTAATGTTTTCAAATAACTTGGGATGTCATTTGATCCTAAAAATAAAAAGTAAAGGTGTATCTTTTATGGCTAACTTACAAATTCATTTTCATGTGAAAGCATCTTTTACTAAATAATTACCCATCCTCCTCTATAGACTGTAGGCTCAGGGACTACAGAAAGTAAAGTTTCATCCATGTTGAATGTTCAATTTCATTTGGCTTTGCTTTTTCATAGTAAAAGCACCCTCTTGTTTGCTGCAGAGCAGCAAAAGCCTTTCTGAAATCACAAAATCTTTTAGAAGTTCTGACTCCAGAGAATTTGGTTTTGAAAGGAACCCTCAAAGTACCCCAGACAACACTCTCTGGGTTTACATTTTGAAAAGTTGATCTGCATTTAACACATACTGATTTTGATTACATACATAATGTAACCATGTCAAAGGTAGTAGACTTGAAAATAGTGAATTTGGATCAGATGTTAATTCTCTCAGGAGCATAAGTAAATATCACAGTAGACGGTAGGAAGTGTTAAAGGCTGGAAGAGATACATCTAAAATTATAAAGAAGTTCAAGGTGATTACTCCCAACTAGGAAGGGCTAAAGAGGTTTGGGGAAAGTAGAATTTGAGTAGAGCCCTTTAGAGTGAGTAAAATTTAGAAATGGAGAAATGTGAAGAAAAAAATAAAAGCAAAGATGTATGGAGTGAAATAATGAATGCACATTTTCCCCTAAGAAATTTCCGTAGTATTCTGTTGACCTAGTAGTTCATATGTGCCCTAGTTTTATGATTAATGATCTGAAATCATTCTGGATTGAACGCATATTACCAACTTCTAAAAAAGTTTTTATTAATATTTTCAAACATAAAAGAGTAAAATGATACACTTTCATCTGCTGGCAACTTGGATAGATTTAACAGTTATCAAAATGTTGCCATACTTGATTCTTTTTGTCTTTTTATTCCCAACGCATTTCCAAACAAATTCAAAACTTAATATCATTTCACCTCTATATTCTTCAGTATGCAACTCTAAAAATATGGTTATTTTCTCATATAATCACAACGTTATTATCATACATAAAATATACAGACATTTTCCTTGTTACCATCTAATACCTGGTCCATATTCAGATATCTTTATTTGTCTCAAAAATATCTTCAACAGTTTAACCAGGATCCAAACCAGACTTATATCTCATAAGGACTTGTAATCTAGACCTGTTATTTTTAATCCACACTCCTACGCTCCTCCTCCTTTTTTGCAGGGGAAGGGGATGAGTTCTTACTCTGTCGCCCAGGCTGGAATGCAGTGGTACGATCATAACTCACTGCAGCCTTGAACTTCTGAGCTCAAGCCATCCTCCCACCTCAGCCTCCCAAGTAGCTGCAACTACAGGCACATGCCACTACACCCAGCTAATTTTTTTATTTTTTGTAGAGATGGGGTCTTGCTGTGTTGCCCAGGATGGTCTCAAACTCCTGGGCTCAAGCAATCCTTCTGCCTCAGCCTCCCGAATTGCTGAGATTATAGGCGTGAGCCACCATGCCCAGCCGCTTCCTTTTTGCCATGCAATTGATTTGTTTAAGAAACCAGATCTTTTGTTCAGCAGAATATCTCACTTTCTGGATTTGTCTGTTTACTTCTTCGTAGTGTCATTTAAATTATTGTTCTATCCCTGTAACTGGCATTTAGTCCTAAGTGCTTGATTAGATTTAAGTTCATTCTTTTTTTCTTAAAGGGTATTTTGCTGCTATATACTTCTTATTACTTCAGATCAGTAGGCATGGAATGTCTGATTGTCACATTCTTAGTGATACTGAATGATTTCATTGGGAAATTATTTTTTAATCTAGTCATTCCTTTCACATGTATTAGCTGAAATTCATCCCTAAAGGTGAACCTCAGCGACCCTGAAATACACCTCATACAGGAGAGGCAGGATAAATATACAATCTTTTTTTTTTTTTTTTTTTTTTTTACTTGCCAGTCTTCAGTGAAAAGAGTTGATGGAGTTGATATAGTTATCTCCAGTGATGAGCATAGGGTTTTGGAAAGGGGAAGGGTTCTGTCTCTCTCTGTCTCTTTTTCTCCCCCATCCCTCCCCCTCTCTCTTTCTCTGCTCCCCCTACCCCTTCTTCTCTCTCCCACTTCCCCTCTTCCTTTGTCCCCCTTCTTCTTTCTCTTTCTCTTTTGTTTTCATGTTCATATTGTACCATCTTGACCAACGTGAATTCCTTCATGTTGCCTACTGGGTTTCGACACAACCTCATTTGTGTTGGATAGCTTTCTTACTTTCTGGTAAAAAAAAATTCCAGGTTTATCTTGCATATTTCCTGTATATTCTTGTGTATTTCCACAGATCTGGAATTAGCAATTTCTCCAAGGAACATTGGTTCCTTCTGATGATGAATGGTGTTTAGGAATCATAATCTGTCACTAGAGATGCCCATTGCTACTGGGATGTCATTATTCTAGGCCTTTACAAGGGACAGAAATAGGAAATAGATGGGTTTGAAAAGAAAAGAAAAAAAACTATGAGTTTATACTGTTTCCAGTTCAGATTTAATATTACTGTTACGTATTTATTTATTGTTATTTAAAAAATAGAGATGAGGTCTCACTGTGTTGCCCAGGCTGGTCTCAAACTCCTGGGCTCAAGCGATTCTCCCACCTCAGCCTCCCAAAGTGCTGGGATTACAGACTGAACCACTGCGCCCAGCCACATATTTTCTTTCACATTAGAAATCCTGAGTCTTGGCCAGGCACAGTGGCCCACGCCTGTGATCCCAGCACTTTGGGAGGCTGAGGCAGGCAGATCACAAGGTCAGGAGATCGAGACCATCCTGGCCAACATGGTGAAACCCTGTCTCTACTAAAAATACCAAAAAAAAAAAAAAAAATAGCTGGGTGTGGTGGCGCATGCCTGTAATCCCAGCTACTCGGGAGGCTGAGGCATGAGAATCACTTGAACCCAGGAGGTGGAGGTTGCAGTGAGCCGAGATCACACCACTGCACTCCAGGCGACAGAGCAAGACTCCGTCTCAAAAAAAGAAAAAAAAAAAAAAAAAAGAAAAAAGAAATCCTGAGTCTTAAGAGCATTATTATAATTATTTGAGTTATTCAACAAGAATTATATAAAATAGCCTAAAAGTAATAGTACCACTATCACTACTACCACCAAGATTATTAAATGAAGTTAAAGACTAAGGTTTTTTTCAGCATTTGCTCTTAAAATACATTTCACTATGGATATGCTTACAAAATGCTGTCCTAGAGTCACTTGTAATTATTTTTGTTTCTACATGGTTATGTCATCAGCTTGATATACATTGAGGTTCATTCATTTCATCTAGTTTTGATTCATAAGGAATTTTTCTAAAACTTAACTTTCTGAATATGTGGACCATTTACCTAACTCCAAAGTGGAAGCTGTATAACAAAATACATTCAGAGAAGTCTTGCTTTCATGCCTTTTTCCCTATGACCTTTATACTCCTTATTCTATAGGTTGCCATTTTGGTTTCCTTTTTATTATTATCTTTCTAGTGTATCTCATTGCAAATATGAGGAAATGTGGATTATATATTTCTTACCTGAATATTAATGCCCTTTTAGAGATTTTATGATTCGGAACATTTGACAATAGAAGTGTAATCATTTAAGCATCTCCCTTGGAAATGGAGATTCTATAATGGCTATATTTTCCCCTAATTACTTCATGCAATTTGTTTCATTTTTCAAATAGGTCATGCCTGCATTAAAAGATAAAATGTTTGCTACTTGATATGTACTTGAGTTATGACAAGATAAAATAACCATTTTATGAGATGATGTAAATATTAAAGAGGCAGGCCACGAGCTTCAGGAATTAAATCCATTTATAGTTGTGTTATAATTATATGAATGTTAAAATTTGAGCTGTGAGGATCAAGAAGAATAAGGAATAACGATTGACTTGAAGAATCAACATAAAACCGATTCTCATAATTGTCTTTGGGTATTTGGTGTTTTTTGATCCAATCTGAAATATGGAAATGACTGTGTTACAGTTTGGCGTCTTAAGGACTGGTACTCTAAATATAATTTCTTCCAACTTCTGAATATTTATTTACATACCTAAGTTAGAAAAATCGAACACCTGGTGTGTTAGTTTTCTATTTCCACATAATAATTGACCCTGAAACTTAGTGATTTGAAGCAATAAACATCAGTTGCTTCCTAGTTTCTTGTGGTTGGGGATTTGGGTGGTTCTGGCTCAGGTCTGTCTGCAAGCTGGTGACTGGGACCATAGGCATCCAGAGGCTTCTGTGAGGGTAGAGAAGCCGCTTCAAGCTCACGCACAGCTGTCGGCAGGAGGCTCCGGGGACCTCTTCATAAGGCAGCTTCAGCATCCTCCCCACAGTGTAGCTGGCTGTCCCCATAGAAGCCACAGCCTGTTTTATGACCTATCCTTGGAGGTGACGTGGTTATTTTCACCATGTGCTGCCAGCCATCCAGCTCAGCCTGTCCAGTCCGTGAGGGAACTGTGCCAGTGTGTGAATGCCAGGAGGCCAACCACCACACTTGGGCTTAGTATTTCTGGGGCTTTTCATAAAAATCAGAAAGCAAAAATATGGAGATTATGTGTATGTGTGTATCACTGATCCAGATATGAGGTTTTATAGTAATATGATTGTGACATTTCAATGTCTTTTTTTTTTGTATTTGTTGTGAGGGGGGTTTTTTTTGTGTTATCTGTATTCTTACGTTGAGGCAGGGTCTCACTCTGGGATTTTTTTTGAGACAGGGTCTCAGCCAGACTGGAGTACAATAGTGCAGTCTCAGCTCACTGCAACCTCCACCTCCTGGGCTCAAGCTATCCTCCCTTCTCAGTCTCCTAAGTAGCTGGGACTACAGGCACGCACCACCACACTCTATTTTTTTTTTTTTTTTGTATTTTTGTATTTTTGTAGAGACGAGGTTTCCCTATGTTGCCCAGGCTGGTGTCAAACTCCTGAGCTCACACAGTCTGCCTGCCTCAGCCTCCCAAAGTGCTGGGATTATAAGCATGAGCCACTGGGCCCAGCCGAGGAGAGGGTTAGTTTAAAATACAACATGGGAATCTGTTTCTCAAGGTGGTTGGTATTTCTGAGATTGATCAAAAACTGAAATCTGAAGAAGAAAAGTAAGTTTTGGTGTAAACAATATGTTTTTTCATCGACCTGATTTTCCTCCCAAATGTTGAACTTCCTGTTCAAAAGTTTCTATAAAATTCATGGAAGTGGTTGCGATAGTTTTTACCTGTGGCATCATTTTGTTACCATTTAATAATGGCCGTTCACTTTTAGAAGTAAATAAGTAAGCCATTGTAAGGGAACTTAGGAACTTTGTGTGCAGTTTAGTAGCCAGCTATTCAGACTTTGATAATTTGGATTACTGGTTTCATCGTGTTTGCACACAATAGCTGAATAATGAGGATCATTAAACTTCTTGTGCAGACATATCCAACTTGTGTTTGCTGCTAACCCTGGAGGCTCTGTGCAGCTGGGGAGGTGAGGACGGGCTCTTTATTGACTTGACAAGCTGTGAGTTTGCATTACAGGCCAAGCAGCTCATGACCCATTCTATTTATGTCACTGGTTTGTGGTGGGGAAACAGGTAAAGAAATCCTGCTGAAAATCCCTCCTTCTGCACGTTTTTATGAATAACGCCAGTGTTTATAGCAGTGAGGGCACTGTGATCAAATCCTCCAAAAGCTGTAATGCTGGCAGCATGGAGCCATTGTGGGACCAGCTGTGGGCGGTATTGGTTTCTCTGTGAGACATTGCTTATTCAACAGAAAGCTCTGGACGAGAACTTACTATGCAATTAAACAGGAGAGAAAAAGGGATACTTCAGAGAGAAAAATATAGAGAAGCAAAGCACCGTCTAGAAGTATGAAACAAATAATGGTTGGCAATAAAGGCCAGCAGGAATTCAAAATTATTTTTACAACGATCAATTTAGATTAAGTGATGATAGTTTATCTCACAAGTGATGAAAAATTATATCATGTTATACTGTTAAATGTTTTTCTGTTTTGTTTAAAATTAAAAGGATTGTTTTTAAAACTGTTTTCGGTCATCACAAAAATAACCTTAGCTTAAGTCAAACTTTCAAACTCCAGTGAATTTTCTCTTGAATTTCAAAAGAGTTGGGAAAAATGGGTTACTTTAGTGCCTCTACACCAGTCTAACCCCTTGAAAACAAAAAGTTAGGATAAAAGTTTGTCTTGTCAACACTGAGTAGCCACTTTAATGTTTTTTCTTTTACTACTCAGAAAATCTGAGTGAGAACTATATATATATATATATATATATGTATATATATATATATATATAAATTTAAAAGGGGTAATGTAATTGAACTGGGAATGTTAGGCATTTTTGAAGGATTATCTTATTATTACAAAGTTATTTTTAGCAAAATGTCATTTCTCTAAATTGAAAAAAATGAGAACATATGCACAAGCAGACATTTCTGAGATTTTAACTATTAACCCATAAAATTGGTCAACAATCTGTTTCTATCTGTTGGCCACACTGCTAATTTTAAGCCATTCTAATGGGCGCCATTATCAGGCCTTATAGGTAAGGGAGAAATGTAGGAAACATAGGGAGAGGTGGGGCATGGTGGTTCACACCTGTAATCCCAGCACTTTGGGAGGCCAAATCACCTGAAGTCAGGAGTTCGAGACCAGCCTGGCCAACATGGTGAAACCCCGTCTCTACTAAAAATACAGAAATCAGCCGGGTGTGGTGATGCATGCCCTCAATCCCAGCTACTCAGGAGGCTGAGGCAGGAGAATTGCTTGAACCCAGGAGGTGGAGGTTGCAGTGAGCCGGGATCGCGCCACTGCACTCCAGCCTGGGCAACAGAGTGAGACTCCATCTCAAAAAAAAAAAGAAAAAAAAAGAAAGAAATGTAGGGAGAAAATTAAAGGGCACTGGAAAAGAGTCAGGTAAGGCAAATAATATTCATTATGTGTTTGGTATAGCTGAAAACAATGTAAAACCATTTCCGGAAAACAGAACAAAGCCTTCAGGATCTGATTGTACCTGGTGTTGGGAATGACTAGGTGGCTGAGGAAGTGGAATCTGTGTTGGCAAACAGAAATCTCAGTGGTCCTGTGACTCATTAAGCAGATGGAAGGAAGGTAGGCAGGGAGGAAAGAACAGAGGAAATGGTCTTGTATTTTAAAATATTTTAAACAGGCAAAAATAATTCTTTTACAGAAGTGTTCTCACTGCAGTAGTAGGTATTCTATTTAAAGCTGATTAATATTTCTTGAGCTGCTGTGTTTAATACTGCAAGTAATCCAAAGACAAGATACAAATCTTACTCTTAGGAAATTGACTGTCTAATGTGGATGAGAGAGACAGATCTGCACACAACTGGGACACAAAGCAACTATGGGCAATGTATTTCTTTGAAAAGGCAAGACCCAAAACTACGTACCAACCTTAATGTCTAAAGGCTGTTAAAAAAAAAAAAGAAAGAAAGAAAGAAAGAAGTTTTTTTTTTTTTTTTGAGATGGAGTCTCGCTTTGTTTCCCAGGCTGGAGTGCAAAGGTGTGATCTTGGCTCACTGCAACCTCCGCCTCCCAGGTTCAAGCAGTTCTCCCGCCCCAGCATCTCAAGTAGCTGGGATTATAAGTGGATACCACCATGCCCGGCTAATTTTTGTATTTTTAGGAGAACTGGGGTTTCACCATGTTGGCCAGGCTGGTCTCAAACTCCTGACCTCAGGCAGTCCTCCTGCCTTGGCCTGCCAAAGTGCTGGGATTACAGGCGTGAGCCACCGTGCCCAGCCCAAATGTATTACTTTATGTACGAAAATACCATCATTGTAGGAGGTTTTCTCTTCCCCCTCCTTTGACCCTGTCCTTGTTGGTCTGCTATGGATGATGCACTCAACTTAGACGCACTCGATTGTGCAGCTCCTTGATCTCACTCAGAGCTTTGAATTTCACAAAATCATAGTAGGACTAGACTATGGTCAACATTTGCCTGGAAGGCTTTTTAACCAAGCTATCATTTTTTCCCCAGTAAATTAATAAAGTGTAACATACACACAGAAAAGTGAATTAATTTTAAGTGTATAACTCAAGCCATCCTTAAAAATTCCTAGCAACAGTTTAGACGTATACATTGTAACAGGCATTTTCATCTTTTTCGTTGTTTTGCTTTGTTTTTTGTTTTTTGAGACGGGGTCTCACTTTGTTGCCCAGGCTAGAGTGCAGTGGCACTATCTCAGCTCACTCCTGGGTTCAAGCGATTCTCTAGCCTCAGCCTCCTGAGTAGCTAGGATTACAGGCATGCACCACCACGCCCAGCTAATTTTTGTATTTTTAGTAGAGACAGGGTTTCACTATGTTGGCCAGGCTGGTCTCGAACTCCCAACCTCAGGTGATCCGCCTGTGTTGGCCTCCCAAAGTGCTGGGATTACAAGTGTGAGCCACTGCACCCGGCCTTTTTCTTTTTTTTATGCAAGTTATGTTTGTTAATTATGGATAAATCAAAAGGAGAAAAAAGGCATCCACCCAGCACAGTGGCTTAATGCCTGCAATCTCAGCACTTTGGGAGGCCGAGATGGGAGGATCACTTGAGTCCAGGAGTTCCAGACCAGCCTGGGCAACATAGCAAAACCCCGTCTCTACACACAAAAAAATACGTATACAAAAAATTAGCCAGGCATGGTGGCACGCACCTGTAGTCCCAGCTACTCTGGAGGCTGAGGTGGGAGGATCAAATAAGCCTGGGAGGCAGAGGTTGCAGTGAGCCAAGATTGCACCAGCACACTTTAGCCTGGGCAGCAGAGTGAGACCCTGCCTCAAATAATAAATAAATAGATAAAACATCTATAATTTTCATGTAAAGGCAATTGCTGGACATTTTAGTATATATTCTTTCAAACTTTTTTCTAAGTATACACTCATACCTTCTTGTTTGCTTTTTTTATTTTCTTAGAAAAATTCCATCTTACACCTCCCTTTTTCTTGGATAGACATATCATTTGTGTGTGTGCACACATGTGTATCACCACTTCAGATAACAACATGGTGTTTGTTCATCATCTATGTAACCGATCTCCTATTCTAGGGTATTTTAAATTGCAGTTATTCTAGTTTTTATTTTTTTATTTTATTTTTTGCAGCCATAGACAGTGCTACAAATCATATTCTTTACCCCAGACCTTTACACAGCTGTCTAATGTTGCCTCAGGATACATTTCTAGAAGTGGAATTGCTGGTAAAGAGCTTGCACGTTTTTAAGTTTTCCATAATCATTCCAAATACTGGACCAACCATCTCTCCCTTTCCCCTAGCCTGACAGTACCAGGTGTTGTCAATCTTTTTCATCTTTACCAAAGAAGCCTTAGATTGTCATGTTTATATCTTTGATTACTATGAAAATGGAACATTTTTTTCTTGTCTAGTGGCTGGTTTTGGTTTTTTTATTCTATTTTCTACTTGCTGTTTCCTTTGCTCATGTTTGAATAAGAACATTAATTCTTTTTTATTCACAACAGCTGTTTATATAAGAAGGCGTAATGCTTTATTGTTGCAAGTAGTTTGCTTCACTTTGTCTTTTGCCTTTTAACTTTGCTGAGGTTATTTTATGCCATATAAAATTGTCGTGCAGTCAAATCAGCATTTCCCTTTATGGTTTCAGCTTTTGGTGAGATACTAGAAATTGTGTCCTACCCCAAGACTAAAAACATCTATATTTACTTACTTTTCTGGGAATTTTTATGGTTTTGTTTTCTTTTACCTAATTTTTAAGACGTTTAGAATTTATGGTTTGTGATACAGCTCCAATTTTGAGGGATTTTTTTAATTAACTATACCATCCAACAAGTCATAATTGAGCTAATTCTCAATTGCACATGCGTAATTATTGCATAGTAAAGCACATGAACATCTGAAAATTATTGTAGACAATAGCTTCAGTCTCTACCTCCAACAAACATTTTCCACTATAACAGCCGGCAAACAGTAAAGTTAAAACGAAGTGACAACCAAATTCTTTGCAAGCAGTTTTCTAAGGCCCCATCCGTCGATCCTGTGAATGGCTATTGTAAGATAGAAGATGTTTCCCTTGAATAACCTCCTCTTGTTGATAACTTACATTTTCAGGCTTATTTTTGCCTGCAGTCATATTTATTGATCACAACTCTCTTCTTCCTATCATCCTCTGTTCTCTCTCTTTCCTGCCCCTGAAATTAACTCCATTAACCAACAACTGAAAACGCCTGGGTTGTCCTCACACTTCCTGACCTAAAATTGTAATTCTTTCACTTGCTCTGTTTCTTCTCTTTTCTTTTTTTCTGTTTTCATTGATATCCCGTATTTCTCTCACCTGTGCTTTATCCCGTCGCACATCGTAAAGCATATTATTATGCTTTTTGGCGGGAGCTATAATTTTGAATGGATAGAAAAATACACTAAAAGTATCATGTCATCTGGAAAATTACTACTTTCTGGATCAGCTTTTGTTTCTTAGTTTGAATTCTAACACATTTTATTTTAATAACCATCATGTTAAAAGCTGAGGACATAGAAATTAGAAAGGCTTTTTGTTCCTTTGAGGAACTACTGATAGAGCAGGGGTAACAAATCTGTGTACAAACTATTCAAATTGTTTTTTAGCCTTAAGAAATTGGGTCAGTTTCTTTCATTGTTCAGTATATTTTAGAAAAGAATGAATATTCCGCACTGATTGAAGACAGATTTTTTTTAAATGTCCATAGAGTCAATTTCATTATTCTTATTCAAACCTATATCTTTGCTGGTTTTTTGACTGCTTATTCTGTCAGTTATGCAGGGAGATAAATATGCTTACATCTGTGGCTATGATTGCAGATTCATCTGTTTCTTACTGTTCTGTCAGTTTTTGCTTTATATGTTTTGCAGATGTTATTAGGTACATACAAATTTTAAACTGTTATAGCTTCCTGGCAAATTGGAACCTTTTATCATCAGGAAGTAGCCTTTATTATCACTGATGGTTCTTGCCTTAAAGTCTTTTTTGTGTGGTATTACTTTTCTTTGTATTTGTATACATCTTTTTATAGCCTCTCACTTTCAGCCCTTCTATTGCTAGATGTTCCTCTGGGCATTAGAATATATTGGGTTTCACTGTTTATACAGCCTGACAACTGAATCACTTAGACCTTTTATGTGATATAATCATTGATATTTTGAGTTTGAAATCTACCTTATTATTTTGTGCTACTTCTTTAGTGTTCAGTGGTTTTTTTTCTCTCTCTCTCTTTTCTTTTATCAGACCAAGGTTTTTTTTTTATCGTTCCTTTTTTCCTCATATTATACGTTGTTTGTAATTTTTGTGTGGTTACCCTAGAAATTACCATACTTTATTCACTACCTTTACACTACAGTTTATATAATAGAGGGACATTAAAATACTTTAGCTCTGTTTACCCATTACTGGCTTACATATCATTATGTTGTGTAATGAATTATGTAAACACTTGGAAGATCTTTATAAGTCAGTGAACCAGTATTTTCCAAATGACCAATGTATGACATTATAAAATTATGCATGGGTAAATTTTGTGTTCATAGTGCTAAACAGAGCAATAAATTTTAATGTAACAGAATATGAATGTCTGTTGATATGATTTCAGATTACACATTGCAACCAACTTATAAGAAACTATCATTTGTTGCATTTAATGCAGCATTAAAGAAGAACTTACACCATTATCCAAAAAATCTTTTAAAATACTCCTCCCTTCTCTAGTTACATATGCCTACATTAAAGAGATTTGCAAAAATTTAAAACATTGCCAGTCTTGGCCAGGCACAGTGGCATGCGCCTGTAATCCCAGCTATTAGGTAGGCTGAGGCAGGAGGATTGCTTGAGCCCAGGAGTTCAAGACCACCCTGGGCAACAGAGCAAGACGCCATTATCAAAGAAAAAACAACCAAAACATTGCCAGTCATTACCAAGTTTTTTGTCTTGGAAAATATAGTTATTTTCATAAAAAAAAATGTTATCTGTTAACATATAATGGGTTCATTGTCGTTACTTTTAAATGAATTACTAAATATTTTTAAACTTTTCAGTTTTATTTTTATTTTATTTTATTTATTTTTTTTGAGACCGATTCTTGCTCTGTCACCCAGGCTGGAGTGCAGTGGCATGATCACGGCCCACTGCAACCTCTGCCTCCCAGGTTTGAGTGATTCTCCTGCCTCCTCCTCTGGAGTAGCTGGGATTACAGGTCTGCGCCATCACACCCAGCTAATTTTTGTATTTTTAATAGAAATGGGGTTTCACCATGTTGGCCATGGTGAATCACTCCTGGCCTCAAGCGATCCACCCACCTCGGCCTCCCAAAGTGCTGGGATTACGGGCATGAGCCAATGTGCCTGGTCCAGTTTTATTTTTAATATGGTAAATATTGACAGATATAGTGCACATTTTTTAAGTTCTTAATAATTTTTAGGAATTTAAAGGGGCCCTAGGACGAAAAATTTGAGAATTGTTGCTTTAGAATTTTTTTTTTTAAATGTGCTGGTGGCAAATTCTTAGCTTTTGCCTGCCTGTAAATGTTTTTGTTTCATCTTTATTCCTTAAAGATGTTTTCAAAGACATAATTTATTTTTCTTTAGCACATTGAAGATGTTATTCCACTATCTTCTAGATTTCATCATTGCTAATTAAGAAGTCAGCTGTCACCTGTTTCTTCTTTGAGAGGAATTGTTCTTTTTTCCCTCTAGCTGCCTTTCAGATTTTTCCTCTCTATCTATGATATTTTATAGCTTCACTTTGATGTGCCTAGATATAGATTTATTTTTATTTATCTTGCCTAGGGTGTGTTGGGCTTCATAAATCTGTGGATTGGTATCTTTCGTCAGTTCTGTAAAAGTCTCAGGTACTCTTTGTTAACATTCGTCTCTGCCCCATTTTTCTTCTAGAATTATGATCAAACATGCACTAATTAGACCTTTTATTGTATTCTCTTTGCTTCTTAGGCTATGCTCTGAAAATTTATTTTGTCCTAATACTCAGTTTATAGTTCTGTCTTGTTTCCAATCTGTTGTTAAATCCCTCCTTTCAATTTTAAATCTCAGTTACTGTATTTTTTAATTTCTAGAAGGTCTGTTTGGTTCTTTTCAAATCCACTAGATCAAGTCACTCTCTGTGACTTCCTACGACCTATATTTCTAGCCTTTGCCTTTTATTATTTTTTTAACATTGTAAGCAAAGTTGTTTTATAGTTGATAATTCTTGTATCTGTGGTCTTTGTCTCTTCATACTAGCTGTTATTTCTTAACAGTTTTCCCTGATCCCACCTTACTTCCTCATAGATTTGATTATCTTTGATTATGTGCTGCTTATTTTTTTTAAAGATAATTATCTGTATTAATATGAGACCTAGATTTTAAGATACTTCCCCTCAGGATTGTGCTGTGTGCCTGGGCACATTGCAAGTCCAAATTACTTTAAAGTATCCTAGAACACCAGAGGTGAAAATTCATGCCATTCTCGTGCATCTTTACCTTATGGGTATAGCCCATTGGGAATCCTTAGTGTCGGGAGGGAGTTCTATTACACCTTCCACTTCGGGCAGATCCTGGGCTTTGACATTCGTCCTCTTCATCATAACCAAATATCAGACTTGCCTAATGCGTAAATGCCCTTGGGGTAAAGCATCTGTGTTCTGCTTACCTCTCAGGGTTCCTGCTTTTCCCTTTAGCTTTGGTTCCATCACTTGTGTGTTCAACCAGTATGGGAAACTGCCTCTAGAAGCAGTGTTTTAAAATTTTAGTCTAACCATAAAAATAGAGAATGCTTACCCTCTGGATATAAATGCCATAGCGATAACTTTGAACTCCTACATTACATGCCTTTTATGTAAGGCAAACCTCAGTACACATTGAGAGACAGTGTCATATACTTATTAAGATCACAGGCTCTAAAATCAGACTGCCTTGTTTAAATCCTGGCCCTGCCATGTAGTAGTAACCTGTGTTAATTTATGCAAGATACGTAATCTCTCTGTGCCTTGGTTTCTTCGTTTAAAAAGCAGAATAATAGCTTGCCTCATGTGGTCATTATGAAAAACAAACAAGGCCGGGCACCGTGGCTTACGCCTGTAATCTCAGCACTTTGGGAGGCTGAGGTGGGCAGATGACCTGAAGTCGGGAGTTTGAGACCAGCCTGCCCAACATGGAGAAACCCCGTCTCTACTGAAAAAAAAAATACACACACACACACACACACACACACACACACACACACACACACAAATTAGCTGGGCGTGGTGGTGCATGCCTGTAATCCCAGCTACTTGGGAGGCTAAGGCGGGAGAATCACTTGAACCCAGGAGGCGGAGGTTGCAGTGAGTCAAGACTGCGCCATTACACTCCAGCCTAGGCAACAAGAGTGAAACTCCATCTCAAAAAAAAAAAACCTAGATAAGGCAAGGCAAGTAAATATTTAACACAGTGGTGCCTGGCCCACAATTGGCTTTCAAGTGCTTAGGACAGTCAGACATATAGAAAGTGCTCAATAAATATTCATCGGTTATGATGTTAAGCATTTATGAAGTGTCTGCTGCACCAACAAGCCTGTGCTAAAGTCTCTTGATCTTTGGCTGTATCCAAGTTAGGAAGATGATCACCCTTGCAGGAAACAAATAGAGAACAATTCGACAGCAGTAATGAAGTTACTTGCTGAAATAATGGTGAAGTTTTTGAAGTAACTTAATGTTTTATGAATTTATGATCAGAATAGCAAAGAGTCAGTGCCTTTTGGTGAAAGTGGTTTCTAAACTAGGACTATGAGGAAGTGGAACCGTGAAGGCTGGCAGCAATGAGGCCAGAGGCTGTCGTGAGCAACAGCCGTGAACATGGCACGGGGCCGGCAGTTCCCATCTGGATGCAGTTTTTGAAGTGTTTCTCCACATTGAGGTTCTCACTACAACCCTCTGAGGCCACTGCATTTCTTTTCACTTTGTTGCTGAGAAAAACAAGGCCTAAAGAATTGTGTGGAATAGTAGAAAGAGACAAGCTGGGACAGTCCACAGGCTGGCAATTCCTGGTGAGGTGAGGATGGCCATATTCCATGGCCCAGAAACTTCATTTCTAGGGATGGGGCTTGGAGAAGTCCTTGAACAGTTCTATTTATGAGTCAGTGTGTAAGTTTACAAGTGAATGTCTCCTACTTTCAGTAGGATGATGGACAAAAACCTTTGGCTTACTAATACCATGGAATACAATATAGTAATTAGAATAAATAATATAGATCTCTATGTGTCAGCATGGATAAATCAGGAGACATAAAACTAAGTGGGAAAAGCTAGTTGCAGAGGACAACTGGAGTGTGACATTGTGTGTATAAAAGTTAAAAGACAGCAAACAGTAATGCAGTATGTATTGTTTATGGACACCTACAAAGGCAGGAAAGGTACAGAGAAAAAAACAAAGTACCAAGAACAATAAACAAAAACATACCTGTCTTAGGGCAGTGGTTGCTCTGGGGCAGGGAAGGAAGTTCATCTGAAACAAATATGGCAAAGGCTAACATATTTTATCTCTGATTATTACCTAACTGTCTGTTATATTGTTTTCTCTGTGTGTGAAATTATATATATATATATATATATATATATATATATATATATATATATATACCTTTTTTTTTTAATAAAGAAGCTTAAAAACAAGCTTTGGAATCAAGTAGACTTTGGTTCAAAAGCTGCCACCCGTTTACTCAAATTCCTTTCTCTTGCTGATCTTCAGTTTCCTCATCTACAAAATGGGGTAATCATTACTTCTTTGATGTTCTCATAAGGACTGGATGAGATGATGTTTGTAAAGTGCCTAGTATAACCTCTAACTTCTTATAGGTCCTCAATAAATAGTGCTTTTTATAATAAATTGAGTAATCCAAGGCCACAGGTCTAGTCTCTGGCGGCTGTAGAATTTGAACTCAGATGTCCTGGCCCCAAGTCCAGAGCTGCTTCCACTGGCGAGAGTTGTGTGAAGAGGATGCTGTTAGTGGAGGAGCAGGGTCACAGTACCACAGCTCTAGCGACCTGCGGCAGCATCACCAGGACAGAAGCTGCCGCTGCATTACCTCCTCCTTACCTCTGCAGCCCGTCTGGGAACAATCTTTTTTTTTTTTTTTTTTTTTTGAGACGAAGTCTCACTCTGTAGCCCAAGCTAGAGTGCAGTGGCGAGATCTCGGCTCACTGTAACCTCTGCCTCCTGGGTTCAAGCGATTCTCCTGCCTCAGCCTCCTGAGTAGCTGGAATTACAGGTGCACGCCACTGCACCCGGCTAATTTTTTGTATTTTTTAGTAGAGACGGTGTTTCACCATGTTGGCCAGGCTGGTCTTGAACTCTCGACCTCAGGTAATCCACCCACCTCGGCCTCCCAGAGTGCTAGGATTACAGGGGTGAGCCACCTTGCCCAGCCTGAACGGTCAATCTTTAAAACCTGGCAATCAAAGCCAAACCCAGAAGTGAGAAAGTCTTCACAGTTTTATTGACAATGGCATTGAGAGTATTAAGAAGAAACATTGGAATTAAGAAGAGAGAAATAGAAACTTTTTCTTTTTAAGCTGCTCTGTCCAGCAGCTTAGGCCAGGTTAGGTTTATGGTAATTAACAACCCAAAAATCTCAAGGGCTTCCAACAGCAAATGTGTCTTTCTTGCCCATCTCCAGTGTGGAGCACAGGCTGCTCCAGGTCCTCTCCAGCTGGAGCCACAGTGGAAGGAGCAGCCCCTGTCAGGCCCCCCCGAGGACTCAGCAGAGGTGGGGGTGGGGAGCGCCACCTCTGAAGCCGTCAGAGCTTCTGCCCCAGCACAGGAACAGGCAATTGAAGTCATATTTCTGTGAACAATGCATGTGTATTGGTTGCTAGAAATTTCTAACTGTCTGGCCATTGAGGGGAAGTTTGGAAAATGAAAAATTCGTCTGAGTAAGTGGAGAGGCCACTTCATGCAGGGCCTGGAACTCAGTTCTTGAGCTGCCTCTAGACGTTGAAGTATTTCGCTACTGGAAGAAAAGCTATTTTACGATCATGTTTTTAAGCACGGGTTTGGTTCGATGATGATCCTGTTTTGACTTTTACCTTCTCTTCTTTTGTTGACAGTGTCATCAGCAAGGTGGTCCCTGCCCCCGAGGCCAAGCCGGCGCCCTCGCAGAACAGGCCGAAGACCCCACCGCCGGCCCCCGCGCCCGCCCCCGGCCCCATGCTCGTCAGCCCTGCGCCCGTGCCGCTGCCGCTGCTCGCCCAGGCCGCCGCGGGCCCTGCCCTGCTGCCCTCCCCGGGTCCCGCCGCCTCCGGGGCCAGTGCCAAAGCCCCCGTGCGCAGCGTGGTGACTGAGACGGTCAGCACCTACGTGGTGCGTACCTGCCGCCCGCGCGGTTAGCATGGAGACGTTTTCAGATCGAGACAAGTGTGTGCTCTGAATCACTATCGAATTTCAGACGCATTTCTCTTCAAAATTTTATTATTTACTTAATTATTTTTGAGACAGGGTCTCCCTGTGTGGCTCAGGCTGGAGTACAGTGGCCCAATCATAGCTCACTGCAACCTCAAACTCCTGGGCCCAAGCGATCCTCCTGCATTAGCTTCTCAAAGTGGTGGGGTTACAGGCCTGAGCCACTGCCCCTGGCCAGACACGTTTCTTTTTTTTTCTTTTTTTTTTTTGAGACAGAGTTTCGCTCTTATTGCCCAACCTGGAATGCGGTGGTGAGATCTCAGCTCACTGCAACCTCCACCTCCCAGGTTCAAGCGATTCTCCTGCCTCAGCCTCCTGAGTAGCTGGGATTACAGGCACGTGCCACCACACCTGGCCAATTTTTTGTATTTTTAGTAGAAACGGTTTCACCGTGTTAGCCAGGCTGGTCTCAAACTCCTGACCTAAGGTGATCCACCCGCCTCGGCCTCCCAAAGTGTGGGATTACAGGCATGAGCCACCGTGCCCGGCTTTTTTTTTTTGAAAGGGGATTTCACTCTGTCACCGAGGCTGGAGTGCAGTGGTACGATCTCGGCTCACTGCAGCCCCTGCCTCCCAGGCTCAAGCGATCCTCCCACCTCTTGAGTAGCTGGGATCACAGGCAGTCACCACCACTCTCGATTAGTTTTTTGTATTTTTGGTGGAGACAGGGTTTCACTATGTTGCCCAGGCTGGTCTTGAGCTCCTGAGCTCCAGCAATCCACCCATTTCTGCCTCCCAACGTGCTGAGATGACAGGCATGAACAACCATGCCCAGCCAAGATGCATTTCTTCATTGCAGTTTTTCACTGCATTTTCAAGCTTTTGGCTGAAAAGTTACATCACAATGTTCACATAGTCAGCCTCCATAAATCATATCAAAGCTTGTTTTTATATTGTTTTGGGATATGACTATATGCATATATACAGTAATATCAATCTGTAAATGTAGAGACGCATGGTGGTACTGAAATCTCACATTGAATTTCTTGATCAAGCAATTCAGTTATTCACTTAAGAGTATAATTTATAGAATGTACACTGATATTATGAGCCAGGTAGTGTTTCTGAATAATAGCACTAATTATATTTTATTGGCTATGATCCAGAATATGCCAGGGCTTGCATATTAAATGGAAATGAACTTTGAGACCACAGAACTCCTGAGTATCCAAGCATGATTTCAAATTGTAAAACCAGCTGGACGCAGTGGCTTACGCCTGTAATCCCAGCACTTTGGGAGGCTGAGGCAGATGGATCACTTGAGGTCAGGAGTTCGAGACCAGCCTGGCCAACATGGTGAAACCCCATCTCTACTAAAAATACAAACAAAATTAGCTGGGCATGGTGGCACGTGCCTGTAATCCCAGCTACTCGGGAGGCTCAGGCACAAGAATTGCTTGAACGGGAGGCAGAGCTTGCAGTGAGCCAAGATCGTACCACTGCTCTCTAGCCTGAGGGACAAGAGCGAAACTCCATCTCAAGAAAAAAAAAAATTGTAAATCCCACCATGTCCACTGAGTCCACATTGTTCTGGGACTGTTTTTTAGTTTCTTACTCCCTGAATACACTCTGGCAGTAAAGTGTTTATACAGATTACGTTCTTTGGATACTATAGAATTAAACACACAAACACACAACGAAATATTTAAGGTGTGTGGAGCCATTGCCATTGCTGTGACTACCAACTCTGCAGACTGTGATGTGTTAGCCTACTGGTGGCCCTGACCTTGTAACTAGCTAGGTACTAATATGATTGGAAAGTGGCTGGGTAGGACTCATGGTATTTGTTGTTATAAACTGTACAATATTACATTTCTTTTTTTTATGTTTTCTTTTTTTCTTTTGAGGTAGTCTCACTCTTCTTGTCCATACTGGAATGCAGTGGCACAATACCACTCACTGCAGCCTCGACCTCCTGGGCCCCAGTGATCCCCTCACCTCAGCCTCCCGAGTAGCTGGGACCACAGGCGTCTGCCACCACAACTGGCTGTTTCTTGGCTGTTTTTGTTTGTTTGTTTTTGGTTTTTGTGGAGATGATGTCTCTCTGTGTTGCCCAGGCTGGTCTCAAACTCCTGGGCTCAAGCAGTCCTTCCACCTTGGCCTCCCAAAGTGCTGGGATTACAGGCATGAGCAACCACGCCTGGCCTATTATTAAATTTCCTTAAAGGAGTTTTGGAAGGAACTTCTAAAAGTGTGATCATCAAATTGGTCCATTCGGGGACCAATCATTGTAGGTGTTTAATTAGAGGCAACATCACCCCCAAATGGGTTGATCAGGAAAGATTTTGTACTTAACCTCCTTGACCTTCGTGTCTTCATCTGTAATTAAGGAGTTTGTGTTAAACTTGGTAATCTCTGTGGCATGTTCTAGCTCTAAAAGTTCTGGTTTTCCAGTAGATCTTTGAGCTAACTCACTTCCTGGAGATGAGTCCAACTGGAATAGACAATGTAGATGGAAAGCTTACTGGCTGTGCATGGTGTCTCACGCCTATAATCCCAGCACTTTGGGAGGCCAAGGCAGCTGTATCACATGAGCCCAGGAGTTGAGACTAGTCTGGGCAACATAGTGAGACCCCATCTCTGCAGAAAATACAAAAATTGGCTGGGCAGGGTGACATGTGCCTGTAGTCTCAACTACTCAGGAGGCTGAGCTGGGAAGATCACCTGAGCCTACCGAGGTCAAGGCTACAGTGAGCCATGATCACACCACTGCACTCCAGCCTGGGTGACAGAGTGAAACCCTGTCTTTAAAATAAAAATGAAAATTTAAAAAAAGCTTTCTACCTCATGAAGAGAGACGCTTTGTGGTTAGAGGACAAAATTTATGATTTAGATGACATACAAAGGCTAGAGAGCAAAAAGGCAAATTTTGTCACTGCCTAATGGTGTGATGTTGGAAATGCCACTTAAATTCCCTTAGCTCCGGTTTCCCCATTCATAAGCTACCCAGAGGTTGTTTTACAGGGATTAAATGAAATGAGATGTTTAGAAGAATTTAGTAAGCTATGAGGTATTTGGTATTAGTTGCTGTGGATGCCGTGGTGAAGTTCTTGTGCGGCACACAGAGTCACGGCCTTCTGACTTCAAGCAAGGTCAGCCAGCAGCAGGACTGGCCACACGTGGGAGCTTCAGGGCATAGGATGTTCCACCAGCCTTGGCCTCTAGACAGCAGGTACGGGTGACTGCTGGTTCTCACCCCTTGTTACTTTTTCTCCTGGAATTACGGAGGGTCAGAGATGTAGTTGCCCACAGATTTCTTTAGGAAGTTTTCCTGTCAATGTAGTTTGCCTTTGTAGAGTTGCCTTAAAGGAAGCCCATCACTACAGTGAAACATATATGGACCCCCAATGCACCTGTCACACACAAAGAAAGCCTTTCTAAAAGCATGTCTAGTCAGTGTGGTATTTGAAAGTCTGGGAAGAACTATCCCTTACAAAATAAACCGGATGCAATAATGTGCTCTGTTATTGTAAACACTTTGGAAGTTACCTTTTTCTTATTGCTGGTGTTGAATGCCCATCAGTGAATTAATTCTTCCAGGTTGGCTCTGTTCATGTGAAGTTTGAGGAAGTGGTGAATAGGATGTTCCCTCTTTAGAACTGCTAAGTTAAATAAAGTCAACTCTAGAGTACACAATATTTGTAGCAAAATAATGTTGAACCTTGTAGCTCTGTGGCCTCCCTATCCCCTTATTTCATTTGCCCTTTAGTTGATTGTACTTTACTAAAAATGTCATAAAGGGAATGGAAAGTTACTTAGTAACAACTCTTTTATATCCTTGATCTTATCAGCTCCTTCAGGAGAAGGGCTTGGCTAATAAGTAATAAGGTGGTGCATGCACATTTGGCTGTCTATATTAATTCCATGCCTATGAATGCGATTGAGAAAACCACATATAAAGTGGAGCTCTATAACTTTCAAAAAATCAGTTGTTACCACCCTTATAAAGACCCAAATCATTAAGAATTTACATAGTTATAGTTTTTTTTTTTATGAAAGGGGTTACAGGTCATATTGTTCACAGAGATGATTATAAAATGCTTTTTATGACTTACAAAAGAAAGCTTAGAATATTCGTTAGAAATGCCTTATCATTGAACACTTAGCGTTTTTCTGTTTCTTGATTCTAAAACAGTGATGACGCTGATCATGGCATTAATGAAGTGCTGATCTACTATATTTTTTAGTTTAATATGCCTGTTTATTCGGTTAACAGTATAAAGTAATCATTCTGATCTGGCCTCTTTTTGTTTTTTTTCCCATTCCCTCCATTTTTGCCGCTTCCGCTTTGCAAACATCAGATCCGAGATGAGTGGGGCAATCAGATCTGGATCTGCCCTGGGTGTAACAAGCCTGACGATGGGAGTCCCATGATTGGGTGTGACGACTGCGATGACTGGTACCACTGGTGAGTGCCCAGGGCGCCCTGCCGGCCACACTCATTAGGCAGCATCAGCCGCTCCTGAGATGAAGCATCCACTGAGTAGATTCCTGCCTTTGGACTGACCCAGGGCTGTCCTAGGGACAGTACATGGAGTCAAATCACTGAGCCTGTGAAGTGCAATTAACTGCAAAACCCAAGAGTGCTTAGACTATTGTTATTCACCCTAAATTCTGAATATTCTGCTTAGCTTATCTATCCTTCTTATTAAAAATAATAATACTAAAAGGAGATCCAGGGGCTTCCCTGGCCTTCCTTTCCAGTAATGTTCTGTAGGAGCTGTAGCACTGGCCAGGACCACGAAGAGGCAGCGCCTTTGTAAAGGTGGTACAAACTGCAGGACTAAAGACTGCTTATCTGTTTTTTAGACCTCTTCAGCGGTTCCTAAAAACTGAAAAGCTCAACCAGAATTTATGCAGATAATCTCGTGTTATCTTTAAAATGTCAGATACAAAAAAGATAGCAACCTGTTCAGTTATGATAGACGATATCTGTGAGATAAAGACAAAGCCGTGGCTCGGAAGACTTCTATTCCTGGCTGAGAGGATGAATGAACGGATGAGTCTCTGCAGGGGGCCTGTAAAGGGAGCATCTGTGATCTCATAGTCCGCATGCCCAACAATAGTGCTACACACAAGTTAGTGCTGCTTGACTTTGATTTCGGGTAAACATGTCATAGACTCTAAAAAATTACTTTAAAACATGGAAGGGAGAAGAATAGATGTCTGTATAAAAGTTGCTTATCTGAGCTTGTTTTCACGTGCAGGCCCTGTGTTGGAATCATGACTGCACCCCCAGAAGAGATGCAGTGGTTCTGCCCCAAGTGTGCGAACAAGAAGAAGGACAAAAAGCACAAGAAGAGGAAGCATCGAGCCCACTGACGACTCCCGAGGGGCTGGACCAAGCGGGGTCAGCCCGGGCTTCTTCCCTGGCGCCTCTGGAAGGGAGCTGGTGCAAGTCTGCCGTCACATCCACCCCCAGATGCCTGTGGATAAAGAACCCAGGAGGACTGAGGCTGGAACACACCGCGCACCTGGATTGTTCACTCCCGAGCCGCCTTGGCCTGTGGCTCCGTGGCAGTGCGACAGAAGGAAACTCAAGCAGAGGCGTGGCCTGGGGGCTGCCCCTCCTCCACTTCTCTAATACCAGTGACAAGTATTATTAATAAAGAGCGTACATCTTCCCTTTTGATTTCCTTTATTCTCTCCAGGGCCTTTTCATTGAGGTATTAGATGAGAAGATAATGTACAAACTGCCTCAACTGTAATTTAAGGATGATAGAGTCTGTATACAGTTTTCAGCCCCTTTCCCTCTATAGTAAGATAATCAGAATAACATAAAAGAAAACTCCAGTTGGAGTACCGGTAAATATTTTTGTGATAAGAATATATGAAGCTTCCCTCCTTCCCCCGTTTTTAGTACTAACATGTAAAATGTTCAGGCTTTTGTGAAATACCTTATATTTTTTAAGAAAAAGGTTTCTATCATGTCCTGTTTGCTTTTGTGCAAATTATTTTTGTTTAATGTATTTTATATCTTCGTTGCATTCTAATTTTGCCCTTCTTTAAACTGCTGGAGTCTCTTCTCACTGCTTGTACATTTCATCAACTTGTATAAAAACTCTTCAGACTAAAAGATTGCCCCTAATGTAAATAATAAATATTTATGAAGTAGTTATTTTTTAAATTTTTATCGTGTTTAATTCTGGCTTTCTCTGAAATCCACTGTGATTTCAGCCAGGTCTGTAATGACGCTGGACAGAAACAAGGCTAGAGAAAAAGCCATCGTTCAAAGAAATTTCCCTTGAGCTCAGCCTGCGCAGTGCCCGGAAACATGGTGGGGAAAGGGCCCGAGCAGTTGGAAGGAAAACAAGGCAATTTAAATTTAGAGTTTATGACTTGAAGTTGTTTTGTTTGTTGTCTATTTTGTTTTTGTAAATTTCTTTGACAGACTTTTACTAAAAGGACATGTAGTTTCCATGAAAGTAAAAAAAAAAAACAACAAAAAACCCACATATACTGTAGCATTTTGTCTTTATATTGTTTTATTTCTACAAATCTGTTCATTAATATTGTGCTTTAAGGCTGAAATGAAGTATATTATGAATTTTTTTAAGAAAACTCATCAAATTTCAGGGTATCACAAAACTTTATTATATTATTATACTGCCCACTATTTATTATATGTTATAGATGTCTGAGAGGTAAACCAAATATTTTATTTTTAATGTTAAAAAAACATCAAATTTAACTTTATTAGCATATTTTAGCAACTTTGGGATAAATACGGACTTTTACTTGATTTTGAAATAATCCCAGTGTAGGCCCATGTGCTGGATCTGTTGGATGCTAGAATATGGGCTTTGAACCTAATACAAATATATTACTAGAAAATGTGATTTTTTTAAATGCCAAGTAAATTGATATTAGTGTATGAATTAGTCATATTTTAAAACATTATGTGGTTAGAGAAATGCGGTTTTCTGCCATGAATGTTAAGTTGCAAATCAGTGGAAATGGAGTCGACCTCTTCGGAGCACAGGGTGTCATTGCCCTCGTTGTTCAAGAGGCCAGAATTTTTCTATCCCCGCTAAGAAACAAAGCATCTATGTTGAGATATGTGTTTTTTTGTTTGATTAATTTGAGATCATTCTAAATACTTTATACAATATTTTCACATGCACAAAAATGCGCGTTAGTGGTTTTTGGAGAGGGGTGAGGGGTGGGGGAAGTGCAAAATAAAGATTATTGGCTATTTCATAGTTTGCTTTTCCATTTTCTTTATTTAGGATTTAGTTCCTTGAGGCGTGGTCCATGATCTGAAGTTGCCACGTTTAAGTGAGCAGGTCACGCTACTGAAATCAGAATGGAGGTGCCTATATATAACTTTCCCCCCAATCTTACTGTCTGAGAGACTTCAGCCCATGCTACATTTAAGGAATTTCAATCAGTTTGTTGTCCCTTGCTATTTCATGGTTGCTTTCCTAAATCCAGTTCATGATTTTATAAATGGTCTTTGCAATAATAAAACCAAAGAATCATTTTCAGGGGGCTGGAGAGCTCGAGGGATTAGTAATGGAATACAGAGCCTTTCACCTCTAGGTCAGTGAGTCGGATCCAGTCCAGGTCACTAGAGACCAAAAGTTGTCACCATCTTATGACTGTTCAGTGGCCTGTGTGAAATGAACTGGTGGTCTCAGTCTCTACTGGGTGGCTGGCTGTGACACCAACCAAAGGAAGTTCAAGAAACTGCAAAGAGAAATGTGGATTAGAAAATAAAACATCCACATTACAAAGAAAAAGTTAGAAAGTTGGGCGTAGTCATTCTCCAGAAAGTAATACCGAAGAAAAAAGAGCAACTTACAAATACCACAGACAAACAGAGATTAATTTACTTTCCTTAATGAAGTCAAGCAAAACCGGAAAAGAAAAGCCTATATTGGGTGAGAGGGGAGAGGGTTAAGTGGGGAGGATGATTTGATCAGAAGAAAAAGTTCAGGGACCCAAACATCAGGGAAAAATGGGTTTTGACTTTTGAGGGAGAAGGAAATCGCAACAGCAGCAATTTGAGGAACTACTGTAGCAGAATTCGACACAAAGGAATGAGAAGTATTTCCCTTTAGAGGGCTTGCAGTGTTCCAGTTGGAAGCAAAACCCTGACCGGCTTTCATTTAGCCCAGCACTGTCATTTGAATAGCATCAATACTTTATTAAGAGAAGTAATGCGGGGGGGGCGGGGATTGTCCTGACTAGTGATTTTATTGAGGGAGATGGTATTTGAGAAACAGACCCTCACCTCATGAAACCGAGACGCTCTTCTGGTGTGATGATCTGCCGTCAGAGCCAGATGGAACTGGCAGAGCTTAATTTCTGTGGCTGACAAGGTGTTTCTCTTCCAAAGGTGTCTACAGTGAGGCACAGTGAGGATCTTTATCCCCTGACTGATTTGTGGTTCCAAATGTCCTGGAGAAAACCAGAGGCTATCAGAGTCTTCTGACTTTGTCGGGCTTTTTTCAGAGATAAAATATAGTGCATTACTCTCCTGTATCACCTAAACCGCCTTTGTTCTCCTTTCAATGGGATGATTAAACAAAGACCTACTAACCAAATTAAAGTATAAAATGAACACTGAGATATGGAAACCTTGCCACTAAGAATGCTAATGAAAAAAGTTCACTAAAGCCACGCTGGCTATGTTTTCAATACAAATAGTTTTATGGCCAATCTCTTTAGATCATAGCAGTTTTCTTTAGAAGTGTAAGTCTAAAAGTAGATGAGTTACCTTGACGGAAGAATGAAACAGATAATGTCCTGAATAATGTCTCTTTCCACAATGGTATCAGTCATTCTGTTAGGAAACTATTTCTTTGAGAATCTTGCGTTCGCTGCAGCCTAAAAAGTATAAAGTAACTATTAATCCATGTGTGCAGGCGAGTAGATGACATCGAAATGAGATATTTAGGTGGACAGCTTGTTCATTTAATCTACATATGAGTTATTAAAATGGCTAGTGGTTATTTTTTTCGTTCTGGGCAACTCAGTTTTAAATTTAGTTTGAAGAACATTGTTACATGGTTTCATTCATTTCGTCCACATTTGCTACGCACGTTTTTTGGAAATGGCAATGATGTATCAGAACCAAGTTCATTTCCAGTTGCCTGGTTTCTGAGCTGCTCTAGCCCTTCCGCTGGCTCCATGATTTTGGAATTGTTCCCAAAGTATACTATGTATTAAAGTGTATTGCATGAAATTCTAAGCGTATTCCATATTACTCTTGTCCCATTTTTCCATACATCATCTTTCTATCCACCTTAGACTGCAACTATTTTTTAATGTTACTAGAGCTTCATGCTTTTAAATTTTACATGCATAACAAAATAAGAGCTTACCAAATGTTTGCATTAACTATCCTAGGAATTAGCAGAGTAGACATGACGTGAGAAAATATATGTAGATAGATACATGTACCACACAGTTTTTGTTGGGCTTTCAGAACAGAAGTTCATTTTAGGTACATAGCCCTAAGCAACCATTTCCTACCATATCCTTAGAACCTAGTCAGTATTTTCACCTTTTGAAGTTTCGTGGGTTTTTTTTTTTTTTTTGGGGGGGGGGGGGGTTTGGTCTTGTTTTTGATTAATGAAATGTTCAGAATAGGACTATCTTTTTTTAAAAAAAAAAAAACACAAACCTGAAGAATGTCATTGTTATTATCCTTAATGAGTTAACTATTGCCAAGTTAAATGGTTTGAAGAAAATGTTTGTTCTCATCTGGTTAACTCATTTAGAGCATCAGAAGTACTTACCAGAGGAAGTTCAAATCATCCAAAAACATTATCAAGTTATATTCTGATTATTTCTTATTATACTGTTTGGGATGTGGATTAAATTTTTTCTGCTAGCTTTTAGAAAGTGAATATTTATTTATTTATTTATTTATGAGACAGGGTCTTACTTTGTCACCCAGGCTGGAATGCAGTGGTGTAATCACAGTGGCCTCGACCTCCTGAGCAGCTGGGACCAAAGGCATGTGCCACATGTCTTGCTAATTTTTTATTTTTTTGTAGAGACAGGATTGCCCAGATTCGTGTTGAACTCCTAGGCTCAAGTGATCCTCCTGCCTCCACCCAAAGTACTGGGATTATAGGCACGAGCCACTGCACCAGGCCAAAAAGTGAATTTTCTTTTTTCTTTGGAGACAGGGTCTCCCTCTGTCGCCCAGGCTGGATCGAAGTCAGTGGCACGATCTCGGCTAACTGCAACCTCCGTCTTCTGGGTTCAAGTGATTCTCCTGCCTCAGCCTCCCCAGTAGCTGGGACTACAGGCACCTGCCACCACACCTGGCTAATTTTTTGTGTTTTAGTAGAGATGAGGTTTCACCATGTTGTCCAGGGTGGTCTCGAACTCCTGAGCTCAGGCAATCCGCCCGCCTCAGCCTCCCAAAGTGCTGGGATTACAGACGTGCACCACTGCGCCCAGCCAAAAAGTGAATTATTTACAGCTGATTTCTTGATAGCCAATTCCTAATTTTCCTTCATTTTATTTATTTTGACATTGTTATTTACAACATTCACAAAAACAAATATTAGGCCCAGGATGTCCCACACTCAGCCATATTCATACATTTCTTTTTTTTTTTTTTTTTTTTTTAATTTTTCAGACAGAGTCTCATTCTTCACCCAGGCTGGAGTGCAGTGGCACGATCTCGGCTCACTGCAAGCTCCACCTCCCGGGTTCACGTCATTCTCCTGCCTCAGCCTCCTGAGTAGCTGGGACTACAGGTGCCCGCCACCACGCCCGGCTAATTTTTTGTATTTTTAGGAGAGACGGGGTTTCACCGTGTTAGCCAGGATGGTCTCGATCTCCTGACCTTGTGATCCGCCCGCCTCGGCCTCCCAAAGTGGGGGATTACAGGCGTGAGCCACCGCGCCTGGCCCACATTCATACATTTCTCTAAAAAATGTTCATCAGACATTGCTCTGAGCAAGACACATTGTGCACTGTGGGAATACAGCGGTGGAGGAGACAGCGTGCCCCAGGGCTGCAGAGAGCCGTCACAGGCTACGTACCCAAAGGCAGGACACACCTCAGAAGTGGGTGCAAACCAGAAGTGCCATTGAAAGGTGATTGTTTCTCCCTTCAGTTTGACCAGTGTTCAGCTGTAGGTCAATGAGACTAAGGAGATAGCACAAAATGTAAAGCAACATTAAACATAAGGATACATAGGATTCCGGCTGGGCGCGGTAGCTCACGCCTGTAATCCCAGCACTTTGGGAAGCTGAGGCAGGTGGATCACCTGAGGTCAGGAGTTCAAGATCAGCCTGACCAACATGGTGAAACCCCATCTCTACTAAAAATACAAAAATTAGCCAGGCATGGTGGCGGGCGCCTGTAGTCCCAGCTACTTGGGAGGCTGAGGCAGGAGAATCCCTTGAACCCAGGAGGTGGAAGTTGCAGTGAGCTGAGATTGTGCCACTGCACTCCAGCCTGGGCAACAAGAGTGAAACTCCATCTCTAGAATAAAAAGAATACCTAGGATTCCCTGTATAGAAAGTTTTTAAAGAGACTGAACCACACTGTCTTGTTTAGGGATGCGTGCAAAGATGGGAAAGCAAGAGTTCCTAATAAAAGTGAGGGTGGCGGCTGCCTCTGGGAAGAAAGGGAGTTTTGATGGGGAAGGAGTGAGCAAGCTCAGGGCAGCTTCCTGGGGACAAGGAACATCTTGCCCCTTGACCTGGGCAGTGTTATACAGGATTCTCTTTATATCTGTTTGCTAAAATTGTGTATATCAGTTTTAGCCATTTTTCTGCTTGCTGTTTTACAATTAAAACAATCTAGCCAGGCGTGGTGGCTCATGCCTGTAATCTCAACACTTTGGGAGTTGGGAGGGATTACTTGAGCTCAGGAGTTTGAGACCAGCCTGGGCAACATAACAAGACCCCATCTCTACAAAAAAATTGTAAAACTAAAAACCAGCTGGGCAAGATGGCATGCGCCTGTGGTCCCAGCTCATCTGGAGGCTGAGGTGGGAGGATGGCTTGAACCCAGAAGGTTGAAGGTACAGTGAGCCATGATCATACTACTGCATTCCAGCCTGGGTGACAGGGCGAGACCCTGTCTCTAAATAAATAAATAAATAAATATGGCCAGGTGAGGTGGCTCATGCCTGTAATCCCAGCACTTTGGGAGGCCAAGGTGGGTGGATCATGAGGTCAGGAGATCGAGACCATCCTGGCCAACATGGTGAAACCCCATCTGCACTAAAAATACAAAAAAGCCGGACGTGGTAGCACACACCTGTAGTCCCAGCTTGGGAGGCTGAGGCAGGGGAATCGCTTGAATCCAAGAGGCAGAGATTGCAGTAAACCAAGATCATGCCACTGCACTCCAGCCTGAGTGACAGAGTGAGACTCCATCTCAGAAAAAAAAAAAAAAAAAAAAAAAAACTTTGGTCATATAAAACCCCCTTTTTTTTTTGTAGTAGAGATGGGGTTTCGCCATGTTGGCCAGGCTGGTCTCGAACTCCTGACCTCAAGTGATCGGCCTGCCTTGGCCTCCCAAAGTGCTGGGATTACAGGCATGAGCCCCCGTGCCTGGCCATATAAAAAGCATTTCACGTGGTAAAAGCTCGATAAATGGTATTAATAGCTATAGTATCTATTGTGGCTTTTTTCCCCATGTTTTCATGAATTCTGGGTTTTCCATGAGTCTCCAATTCTAGATTTCAACATTTCATACAAATAAGTGATCTTAATATTACAATCAAGGATTGGGAAGCTGGACAAGACATTCATTCACTAGGCAGTTTGTAAGAACAAATGACTGATTCGATACAGGAGATGGCCAGAAGAAAGAGGCTTTCTCCCGGTGCACTTCTGAGTGGGCAACCAGTTGGATGTGACACATGTCAGTGTGGTACCGAGGTGAAGAGCAGAGGGATAGACACGACACAGCCCCACTCCTAGGAAATGCAGCCAATAGCAGGACTCACGACCAGTGTGAACAGGCAGCAGGTTGATGTGGAATGGATTTGGCTACGGTGTTTTGGAAGCACTGCACTCAACAATCTCTGAGGAGTAAACGGAATAATAAATCATGGAGAAAAGGCCAGGGGTAGGCCTCCCCTACATTCTGCACGTCCATGCTTGCATTTCCATTCTCAAAACAACCCACACAGTAAATGCATCAGATAAAGTAAGAACCCAACTTATGCTTAAAATGAGGAGAGATTTTCAAAACATTCTCGATGTAGGCCAGTTGTAGGGATGCATTCACTTATAGAGTAGAGGAGATATCACGGCACTCCTTCTCCCTGACAGATATTTAGGGATCTGTTCAGCATACAAATGTTTGTATACATATATATATATATATATTTAGATGGAGTCTCACTCTGTCATCAGGCTAGAGTGCAGTGGCGTGATCTTGGCTCACTGCACTCTCCACCTCCCGGGTTCAAGCGATTCCCCTGCCTCAGCCTCCCGAGTAGCTGGGACTACAGGCATGCACCACCATGCTTGACTAATTTTTTGTATTTTAGTAGAGACGGGGTTTCACCTTGTTGGCCAGGATGGTCTTGATCACCTGACATCGTGATCCACCCCCCTCGGCCTCCCAAAGTGCTGGGATTACAGATGTGAGCCACTGCGCCTGGCCCAAATCTTTGTGTTTGAATCATTGTGCTCAATGCAGGGGCTCAGGCTGGTCAACAGAGCTTTCTGTGATTATGGAAGTGCTCTACAATTTCTACACTTTCCCATCAGCAGCCACTGCTACAGGTGGTGATTTGCGCCTTTGAAATGTGGCTAGTGTACTGCCACTGAGAGACTGATTTTTAATTTTTTAAATTTTAATTTATTATTTATTTATCCTTTTTTAAAGAATTTATCTTGAGACAAGGTCTCAGCCTGTTGCCCATGCTGGAGTACAGAGGTGTGATCATGGCTCACCACAACCTCAACCTCCTGGGTTCAAGCAATCCTCCCCCTTCAGCCTCCCGAGTAGCTGAGACTACAGGTGTGCATCACCAAGCCCAGCTGATTTTCTTTGTTTGTTTGTTTGCAGAGTCAGGATTTCTCTATGTTGCCCAGACTGATCTCAAACTCCTGAGCTCAAGCAAACCACCCACCGTAGTCTCCAAAAGTGCTGGGATGACAGACATGAGCCACCGCACCTGGCCTAACTTTAATTTTGACAGCCACTGGTGGCTAGGAGCTACCATACTGCACAGTGCGCTACTAGAGCAGCCACAAAAGTAGATACACCTTCTCCTTCATTGTCATCCTCATCTTTCCCATGGCCAGGAAGGAGGCTGGTCCAGGAAGCACTCACAGCATAGCCATACTTCCTCACCAACTGCATGGTGGTTTATTGTCAATAAAATGAAAGAAGGGAAATGGACAGATAGTGTGACATTTTCAACTTACTAACAACTTTTCATTAAGTGTGTATTTTATGTATCCAGGAGCCTGCACTTATATACAAAATATCAGTTGTCAGTGGTTTGTATCCAATGTTAGTGAAAAGTCTCTATTTTATGTATCCAGGAGCCTGCACTTATATACAAAATACCAGTTGTCAGTGATTTGTATCCAATGGTAGTGAAAATTCTCTATTGCCTTGATTTAACCATCACTCTCCCAATGGCCTCAGCACTTACATTCTGAAACCAAGAGGTCACGTGACATCTCCATGCTGTTGTAGCTATAACATTCTGTGTTTGAGATTTGAAAACTTATAAATAAATCAGTTCTGTGTCAGAGCAAGTGACTCCAATGCCTGTTACAACTGGAATCAAGAGATGAAGGGATAAGCGTGTGGTGTGAATGGAACCACAGAATTGACTCACCTGAAGTTTTTTAAATGTGAATTTGGTTGAATTAAAGAATAGGCTTAAAGTCAAAAAAGAAATAAGGGGCCGGACACGGTAGCTCATGCCTATAATCCCCTCCCCCCAGCACTTTGGGAGGCCAAGGCAGGCAGATCACAAGGTCAGGAAATTGAGACCTTCCTCACTAACACAGTGAAACCCCGTCTCTACTAAAAATACAAAAAAATTAGCCGGGCGAGGTGGCGGGCGCCTGTAGTCCCAGCTACTCAGGAGGCTGAGACAGGAGAATGGCATGAACCCGCGAGGCGGAGCTTGCAGTGAGCCGAGATTGCGCCACTGCACTCCAGCCTGGGCGACAGAGTGAGACTCCATCTCAAAAAAAAAAAAAAAAAAGAAAGAAAGAAAGAAAGAAAGAAAGAAAGAAAGAAAGAAAGAAAAAGAAATAAGGGTGGGGTGCGGTGGCTCACACCTATAATCCCAGGACTTGGGGAGGCCAAGATGGGAGGATCACTTGAGCCCAAGAGTTCAAGACCAGCCTGGGCAACATGGCAAGACCCTGTCTCTACAAAAAAACAAAAAATTACCCAACATGGTGGTGCACACCTGTAGTCCCAGCTGGAGAGGTTGAGGCAGGAGGCGCACTTGTGCCCAGGAGTTTGGGGCTGCAGTGAGCTGTGATCATACCACTGCACTCTAGCCTGGGGCCACAGAACAAGACCCTGTCTCAAAAAAGAAAGAAAGAGGGGGCAGGTGGGGAGAGAGAGAGAGAGAAGAAAATGAGGTTCCAAAAAGGGGGCGCATACGCCATCCTTCCCAGGTTGGTTACCTCTTGCAAGAGCAGAAGGTAAAAACAGGAGCAGAAGGAAATGTCTCCAGCTGTAGAAATGGTTGTCTTGGGGGTGGAAGTGGAATGACCGAGAGCTGCTGAGGGAGTGAGGGCGTTTAAAAAATTCCTGCACCCCGGCGTGTCTCTTTAATTACAAACGGCTGGGCAAAACAGGGCAGAGGCATTTCTGTTGGTTTATTGTCAATAAAATGAAAGAAGGGAAATGGACAGATAGTGTGACATTTTCAACTTACTAACAACTTTTCATTAAGTGTGTATTTTATGTATCCAGGAGCCTGCACTTACATACAAAGTATCAGTTGTCAGTGGTTTGTATCCAATGGTAGTGAAAATTCTCTATTGCCTTGATTTAACTATTAATGTGAACATAGATTAACTTGTTCCTATACGTACACTGAAGCTACGGGCATCTCAACTGCTTCCATGCTGTTTCTAGCATTTAGGAGGTAATTTAGCCCTTTTTCAACATCTACTCCATTTCTTGAATGGCTAGTTATTTTCCCAAATGTTTTTATGTGCAAATCATTGTCAATAAACTTTGTTTCAAATCACTAAAAGCAATAGAGAAGGCTTGCCTTTGGATTACAAAATAGCGAAACCTGCTTGAGAGCTTCAAATTACCAGACTACCCGAACAAAGCGAGCCCCGTGTTTCAGTGTATAGTCACAGACAATACAGTAATTTAATGCAGTAGGAATTCTGGCTGAATTCAGAAGATGGTATTTATGCCATAAAGGGTTATTCACCCCCTTTCCCAAGTAACAGTGATGTCTGACACCTGCCCACTCGGTCTTGCAGAAGCACACCTACGTTTGTGTATATGGATTCATGTGAAGGATGTTTGTATAAAAATGCAGAATGTAATCACTCAATATAGCTGACATCACTTCATATTCTATACATTTATGGGAAAATTTTGCAGTTGTGTAGTTTCCAGATACAGAAGTCACACGACATGGCTATATATATATATATATATACTTTTTTTTTTTTTTTTTTTTTGAGACAGAGTCTCTGGCTTTGTTACCCAGGCTGGAGTGCAATGGCACGATCTCAGCTCACTACAATCTCCACCTCCCAGGTTCAAGCGATTCTCCTGCCTCAGCCTCCTGGGTACCTGGGATTATAGGTGCGTGCCACAAGTCCTGGCTAATTTTTATATTTTTAGTAGAGACGTGTTTCACCATGTTGGCCAGGCTGGTCTCAAACTCCTGACCTCAGGTGATCTGCCTACCTCAGCCTCCCAAAGTGCTGGGATTACAGGTGTGAGCCACCATGCCCGGCCGACATGTCTAAATTTACAGTATGTGTAATGCACTCAGAAACAAGGATGTGGTTGATAAGAGTGTGCTCATAATTTTCATTAAGTTCTTCATCGTGTTTCGTTAGTGCTCAAACATCAGAGGAAAAATTAAAGTTTTGGAGCAAAACTCAGGAAAGACCCAGATGAGTCCCTCCTCTCTTCCCTTCAGTCACTGCTCTGGTGTGGGGACAGCCCACGTCACTAAAGCAAACACACCTTTACACAGCTGTCTGCTTGTCTTCACTGGCATTGTCTGATTTTTTTTTTTTCACAAGAAAAGCTGATCTTTCATATTAAGAGGAGTGATGTCAAAATTAGGCAAACGGTGTGTGAAGGCGAGTGGAAAGAGTTTTATGCAAAGAAACAGCACAAGGTTTCAAAAAGCATGCTAGAATTTCAGCAGTTTTTAGACTCAGGCTAGGACGACAGATCTTTGAGCCAAAAAAACAAAACCAAAACCAAAAATCAAACACCCAAAATAAGCCATTAATCGTGTTCTACCCGAGCCAACCCACAAACCAGGGATAGAAAACAGAGAGTGCTAAGATAGGAAGGCACTATAGAAATACCGCCCAATCCTGGCCATGAAAGTCAACATTCCAAATTCCCCGACTCTCTCACACCTAATCTGATGGAGCCACCCAACGGCTTTACACAAGGTAAGTGGAGCCGGCTCCCCTCGGCAGTCTAGCGCAGCCTTTTAAATGGACTGCTATTAAAAAGCCGAGTTGAGTTATCTCTTGGGATCAGTGTGGCATTTAGTTGCTGCCCGGCCCCAGTAGTTCCAGCCACCCCTACAGCAAACTCCCACTGTGATGGGAAGCTCCACTTGGTCACTAAGGGCCGCCCTCCTCTCTGTTTTCAAGGTCTTTCCTGAAAGTTGGCCACAGAGATAACCTGGTTTCCATGCTATTATTGCATAGGAAGAAGGAAGGGTTGAGCCCAGCCCCTTTGGGAGGTGAACTTGTGGTTCCAGGGAGTCTAGGAAGTCAAACCTGATGCTTTTAGTATTAAGCTGCCCCATAGAATGACTCAAATTGGAGTTTTCTCTGAGAACCAAAAAGGGAGCTGAATTACAATAGCTCTTTCTTATTTGTGACACTTTTTTTTTTTTTTTTTTTTTTTTGGAGACGGAGTCTCGCTCTGTCACTCAGGCTAGAGTGCAGTGGTGCAATCTCGGCTCACTGCAGCCTCCGCGTCCCGGGTTCAAGCAATTCTCCTGCATCAGCCTCCCAAGTAGCTGAGATTACAGGTGTGTGCTACCACACCCCTCTAATTTGTGACACATTTGAACACACACACACACATACACACACACCCTTTTCCTAGTACTTTAGAACATATTTAACCTGTGGCTTTTGGGAATAGAAATTTTTCAACATTAAGAATGAATTTGGCCGGCCTCGGTGGCTCACGCCTGTAATCCCAGCACTTTGGGAGGCCGAGGCGGGCGGATCACGAGGTCAGGAGATTGAGACCATCCTGGCTAACACGGTGAAAACCCGTCTCTACTAAAAATACAAAAAAAAAAAAAAAAAAAAAAAAATTAGCCAGGTGTGGTGGCATGCACTTGTAGTCCCAGCTACTCGGGAGGGTGAGGCAGGAGAATTGCTTGAACCTGGGAGGCGGAGGTTGCAGTGAGCTGAGATCAGGCCACTGCATTCCAGCCTGGGCGACACAGTGAGATTATGTCTCAAAGAAGAAAAAAAGAAAAAAAAAAAAGGCCGGTCACAGCGGCTCAGGCCTGTAATCCCAGCACTTTCGGAGGCCGAGGTGGGCGGATCACCTCAGGTCAGGAGTTTGAGACCAGCCTGGCCAACATGGTGAAAACCCATCTCTACTAAAAATACAAAAATTAGCTGGGCGTGGTGGCAGGCACCTGTAATCCCAGCTACTTGGGAGGCTGAGACAGGAGAATTGCTTGAACCTGGGAGGTGGAGGTTGCAGTGAGCCGAGATTGCCCCATTGCACTCCGGCCTGGGTAACAAGAGTGAAACTCCGTCTCAAAAAAAAAAAAAAAGAATGAATTTATTTTAATATTCTTTTTATTAACTCAAACATCATTTCACCCAGGACCTCCATTTACTGGTGGCAAATCTGGTTAAGTTCGGAGGCCCAATATCACTTCTTCCATCAAAATGGATTAGTCTGCAGGTTCAGGAGGATTATAAGGTCGGGTCAAACCCCTCCCTCCTCCTGAGTGTTTTAGCAAAGATAAAATTGAAATGATGTTGTTAGTAAAAATGATTGCCTTCTTTTAAAAGATGGCATTAAAGATAACAGCATAATAATACTTTTTTCAACAGCACAAAAGTTTGCTCTCTTTGTAACTGGATTCATGAAACAGCTGGCTCCACTGTGCTTTGAGACTTTCATTTTGGGTAGGTTCTGGGCATAGCAGGCCTTACTCTGTCTCTCTATCTCATTAAAGGAATGACATGCCTCAGCAGACAAGACATCACTTTCAAACAGCAACAACAAAATAAACAAACAATTTACCTCCTCAGCTTTTTTTTTTTTTTTTTTTTTGACAGAGTCTCACTCTGTTGCCAGGCTAGAGTGCAGTGGTACAACCTTGGCTCCTTGCAACCTCTGCCTCTCAGGTTCAAGCAATTCTCCTGCCTCAGCCTCCTGAGTAACTGCCTGCCTCAGCCTCCTGAGTAACTGGGATTATAGGTGTACACCATCATACCCAGCTAATTTTTGTATTTTTAGTAGAAATGAGGTCTCACCACGTTGGCCAGGCTGGTTTCGAACTCCTGACCTCAAGCGATCTGTCCACCTCAGCCTCCCAAAGTGCTCAGATTACAGGTGTGAGCCATCATGCCCTGCCTTTCCTCAGCTTTTAAAAATCAGTCCTTAATCAGCAATCGGGGCTGGGCATGCTGGCTCACACCTGTAATCCCAGCACTTTGGGAGGCTGAGGTGGGTGGATCACTTGAGGTCAGGAGTTCAAGACCAGCCTGACCAATATGTTGAAACCCTGTCTCTACTAAAAATACAAAAATTGGGCCGGGTGCAGTGGCTCACACCTGTGATCCTAGCACTTTGGGAGGCCGAGGCCAGTGGATCACGAGGTCAGGTGTTCGAGACCAGCCTGGCCAGCATGGTGAAATCCTGTCTCTACTAAAAATACAAAAATTAGCCGGGCGTGGTGGCGTCTGCCTGTAATCCCAGCTACTCAGGAGGCTGAGGCAGGAGAATCGCCTGAACCCAGGAGGCGGAGGTTGCAGTGAGCTGAGATCATGCCACTGCATTCCAGCCTGGGCGACAGAGCAAGACTCCGTCTCAAAAACAAAACAAAACAAAACAAAACAACAAAAAACAAATATTAGCCAGGCGTGGTGGCGCATGCCTGTAATCCCAGCTACTCGGAAGGCTGAGGCAAGAGAATTGCATGAACCCGGGAGATGGAGGTTGCAGTGAGCCAAGATCTTGCCACTGCATTCGAACCTGGGTGACAAAGCAAGACTCCATCTCAAAAAAAAAAAAAAAAAAAAAAAATCAGCAATCGGTTTGGTGTAAGACTTCACTTCCCACATTGCAGGGACAAGTACCTCTGGCTCTCATATGCCTCACAAATGTTAAAAAAGCATATTTTCATATTTCTACCTGTTTCTAGTTGCTAGAAAAACATATGCATCAGTTTCTCAAGGTTCTGCCAATCTTTTGAAGACTTGTTTATAAAATGCCATTCTTAGACTGGCTCAGCTTCCATGTGACAGGAACAGAGCATACCCTGAAAAAGTATCAAGGGTCAATCTGGTTCAGAGGTTCAGCTGATGGTTTAAAATTATTAAGAGAGGCTGGATGCGGTGGCTCACACCTGTAATCCCAGCACTTTGGGAGGCCGAGGCAGGAGGATCCCTTGAACCCATGAGTTCAAGACCAGCCTAAGCAATGTAGAAAGACTGTCTCTACAAAAAAATTAAAAATTAGGCAGGCGTGGTGGCGAATGCCTTTTGTCCCCGCTACTCAGGAGGCTGAGGTGGGAGGATGGCTTGAGCCTGGGAGGTCAAGGCTGCAGTGAGCAGTGATCATGACACTACACTCCAGATTGGGTGACACGAAGAGATCCTGTTTCAAAAAAAATTAAAAATAAAAGTATTAACAGAAAAGCAGATGTTGGTGTACAAGGACATATATAGGCACACTCAGAAAATACTTCTTCCTTGTTCAGAAAAGCTAAAAATGTAGGCCCCCTTTCTAGCCCTTTAAATAAAGTTCACCATTCCAGGAGTATTTATCATGGTTAGTGGTTGCCATCAGTCATGGAAAGTTAACAAAGACCTATTGGGTTTATCTATAGGCAGCTAAACAAACATATCTTGCTCTTCTGTTATCTTCTTGTTAACAAAGCCCTATCAGGATGTTCTAAACATCAGCGTTTACTGCACAGTGGCCCTTTATCTAGGATGATATATAGAGAGCTCATCAATTAGCAGGAGGGTTTGTAGATACCTGCCATATATTCATGAGAGCACGCTGCCCTCTTTTCTCTCTCCCATCACGGACAGGTGCATGGTGATGTGGTTTCCCAGGTGGTGTCTCTGCTCACCTTCTGGGCTTTGCTTTGTCCCCCTTGCCATAGGGAAACTGTCAGGGTACATTTGGTCCAGGCAAGGCTGTGACTTGGAAACAAAGTAAATGAACAGGGCTGTTCTTCTCATCACACATACACAACCCCGTAGGACCACGCGGTTTTCTTGAAAAAACAGAGAAACACAGCCTTGGTGTGATGAAGCATTTTGCAAAAACAATGTCACCACCAATTATTTTACAAAATTTGAAGCACCAAGACAAACACTGGGCGTGTGGATGAGGGAAGGGGAGACGCTAGTTCCCAGAATGGCATCGAGAATGTATAAGTTCTTTTTCAGAAACAGGGTCTCGCGCTGTTGCCCAGGCTGGGGTACAGTGGCACAATCATAGCTCACTGCAGCCTCAGACTTCTGGACTCAAGGAATCCTCCCACCTCATCCTCCCAAGTAGCTAGTACTACAGGCACATGCCATGTACCTGACTAATTTTTAAATTTTTCGTAGAGATGGGATCTTGCTGTGTTGCCCAGGCTGGTCTCAAACTCCTGGGCTCAAGCAATCCTCCCTCCTCAGCCTCCCAAAACACTGGGATTACAGGTGTGAGCCACCGCTCCTGGCCTAGAATCTCTACCTCTTTAACTCTTTCTGAGCATGCTGCTGTTCTGTATAAAGCCCATCCCTGGGTCCCCACAGCCCGCAGGATAAAGGCACTTAGCTTGATTTATGAAGTCAAGTCACTGTGGCATGGATCTGCTTCCCTCACTTGTCCCCTACTCAGGACACACGGCATTCTTAGCGTCTGCGACATTCTCCCTTTCTCTGCCCTGTGCCACTGCTTCTTTCTTTTCCCTCCTGGAACCCTCTTTGTCCTTGCTCTGCTCTGTAAGCTCCTTGGCCTCCTCTGTGTGCCAGACTACACTTGCCCCTTTGGTGGAACATTTCAGGGCACCTCTTGGCACTCTCCCTCTGGGCTCACACATCATTGGGCGAGACTTTTCACATAGTTATTGCATCAAAAATGATCTATTTGTCTTTCTTGCCCCTCTACCTGGGGGACATCTTGAGGACAGAGAAAGTTGCCTACTTGGTAGTCTCAGAGCTTGGCAGGGGGCCTATTCAACACCATGATGAAGGAAGGAAAGGATCATGGATGAATATATACCAGCGATCTTGAATCTACTCATATGCCTAGGTGTACACTGAGATCTGCTGGAAGGAAAGAAGGAAATCCAAGGAGTGGTGGTGAGAGCTGGGGCTGTGGACAGAGAGACTGTGTCACTCATTAAAAAAAAAAAATTGGCGGGGGCAGGGGTGGGGGGCGAGATCCACCTATCTTAGAGGATGTTCTGAGTATTGGGTGAGATGATGCTTGTAACCTACTTAGTTTATGATGAATACAGTTACTGTCGTTCTATAATAATATGATTGTCCAAGCATGGTGGCTCACGCCTGTAATCCCAGCACTTTTATATATGTATATATGATTATGCCTTTTGGTGCAAGTGCCTAAGCTTCCAGTAATTTGGGTGGTCTTTTCTTGTAAGACAGAATTTCCATCAGTTTGTTTTCCCGAGATTATAACTAAGTTTGGTGAAGGATCACGTGGCATATGGTGCCTTAACACAAAACGCAGGCCTGGCATGGTGGCTTACACTGTAATCCCAGCACTTCGATATTTTCTTTGGTGCACATGGGAGGAGAGAGAGCTGAAATCTTCTCATCTGGCCGAAAGCCAGACATGTTTTCTGTCATGAATATATTAACAGAGGAGAGACCTGTATTTAAGACATTTGGCTCTGGTCGAGCTTGGTGGGTCATGCCTGTAATCCCAGCACTTCGGTAGGCTGAGGCCAGGAGTTCAAGATGAGCCTGGGCAACATAGCAAGATCCCATCGCTACAAAAAATGTTAAAAATAAAAAATATTAGCCAGGCCGTGGTGGCGTATACCTGTAAGTCCCAGCTACTCAAGAAGCTGAGGTGGGAGAATTGCTTGACCCTAGGAAGTTGAGGCTGCAGTGAGCCATGATTGTGCCACTGGTCCAGCCTGAGCCACAGAGCAAGACCCTGTCTCAAACAAAACAAAGCAGGACAAACTAACAACAACAAAAAAACCTCACAAAATGCAGATTGATCAGATCTAAAGCTGACAGGAAAGACTCCAGGCGACCAGAGTCCTAATATTTCTATTTTGGCCGGGCGCGATGACTCACACCTGTAATCCCAGCACTTTGGGAGGCTGAGGTGGGCAGATCACCTGAGGTCAGGAGTTCGAGACCAGCCTGACCAATGTGATGAAACCTGGTCCTTACTAAAAATACAAAAATTAGCTGGGCGTGGTGGCATGCGCCTGTAATCCCAGTTACTCAGGAGGCTGAGACAGGAGGACTGCTTGAACCCGGGAAGCGGATGTTGTGGTGAGCCGAGATTGAACCATTGCACTCCAGCCTGTCTCAAAAAAAAAAAAAAAAAAAAATTCTAGCTTTACCTCCATTCACCTATAAGCTTAAATTCCATTGGACAGCATGGTGGGGACACCCCCAACACCCTCCTAGATCTATAGCCTCTCTCCAAAGGCCACACTCACCCAGACCCAGGTCTCCACCCTCTGTCTTAGACCGTGTCAACAGCAGTTAGGAACTTGACATTGCTCTGACCCTCCGAACACCAGCAGCCAACTCTTTCTGCTTCCTCCTGGTCCCACATCCAGCTCTCAACCTGTACTCCAGGGGCTTGGGGGCTTCTTTTAAGAAAGCTGAGTCAGACACCAACACACCCCACTAGTCCCTGCACCCACCAGTGCAGCCAGCACCACGCATCTGCCCTCTCTGCCTGGCCCTGCCTGATCTGGAGGCTCTAGACACCGGCACCCCAAGGCGATGCGTTGTTTTCTGGTTTATTTTCACGGGAACGGTTGTTGATGTGGGAAAGAGAGCAGCCAGCTGACTCCCAGGGCAAGGCTCGCCGGCTTCCTTTCCCTCCCAACTCCCCTGCTCTAGGCCACTGCCTCTGGGGTGGGGCGCCGAGAAGGAGGCCCTGGGGACCTACCCCCGGCTCTTCTGAGCCAAGTGAGTTCCCAGCTGGCAGCCAACTTCGTTTCTATGGCGGAACTCAGGGTTCCCACGCTCTTGGAGTAGGACCAGGATGGGATCGCCCTGGGCACGTGGTATCCCCTCCGCCTGCGGGGTCACGACAGCCTAGGCGACGGACAGTCCCGGGCTTAGGGAGGGAGGCTGATCCCGGGAGCTCTCAGGAGTCCTTCCACCTGCCACCTAGGAGCCCAGTTCGCATCTCTACAGCGCCACACATCTAGGCCAGCCCAGCTCCGGTCCCAGTCGGTCTCTGCGGAGCCCCAGCCAGCTCCGCGTCTTGGTCCTGGCTTGCGGGTGGCACACAGACAAGCGACCGGGGTGGCCCGGAGAGGTCGTGCCCCTGGCTGCGAGACGACGCGACAGCAGGGCGCTCCGGGGGCCGCAGCGGCGTCGAAGGCGGTCCCTGGGGGCGGGGCTCTGGCACGAGGGGGACCCTCCCGGGTCAAGTTCACAGAGGCGGAGGGGCCTGGGCTGCGCCCCAGAGCCCCAGGGGGTCCTCTGCTCCCATAAAAAACAAAGACGGGGGCGGCGGAGGGTGTGGAAGGAAAGAAATTGAAAAGGGAGTGCGGGCGACTGAGGGAAGCTGGAGGGGAAATAGGGGCCTCGGCCACCAGTGGCCTATGTCCATAACTGCCCTTTGGTTTTGGTGGCCTTGCAGGCCGGGAATCGAGTCTGCCATGTTCGCTTTCAGACGGGCCTCCTGGCAAGCTCTTGGTTGACTGTCCCCAGATGTTCCGGGAACCCACCCCTCCCCCACACCCTCCCGCCCCAACCCTCCGCAGAGAAGCCGAGGACCACATCCATCCGCTTCCTAGGAACCTGCCCGCACCAGCAGGCCCTGTTTCCTGGACAAACTGGGCAAAGAAACCTAAGAACCGCGCGATCCCGGCAGGTGGCTTTCTGCGGAGCCAGGGCTGCCAGCGCGGCCGGGCGGCGCCTCGGGACCCGGCCTGGCATCCGCGGGCGCCCGGGGAGGGCCTTGGCGTCGGCGGGGGTGGGGGTGGGCGGCAGATCCGAAGCAGGGTCGGGGAAAAACGGCGTTGCGGGAGGGTTGGGGGGTGGCCTCTGAGGAAGTGGGACAAAAGGCTTTATTTCAGAAGGTACGCCAGGAAAGGGGCGTGGGTCACCAAGTCCTGCGCAGCAGAGTTGGCGCGGCCTGGGAGCCGGGGTCCCTTCTGACCACAGACGTGGCCACCGCCTCTTCTCATCCCGAAGGTCCCAGCCATCCCGAGGTGGTCAGAGAAGACCCCGACGGGCGGATCGGGCAGTGGAGAGACCCGTGGTCCTCGCGCCTGCTGTGTCGCTGTGTCAATGACCGTGACACTCAGGGCAATCCTTACCAACACAGAGCAGGACAACGATACCCCGCACCCCCCCGTACAAGTGCAAACTAGTTTCTGTGTTGGGGGAAAAAAGCGAATAAAAGTTTAATAAACGTGTGCTGTGTTGTGGATGACTTTGTGACGACCTCTGTTGCAAATGGCCTATGCATGCGGAATAATGGTCTCCTTGCAGAGAGGGAAATAGCTTAGTGCTATCATCGTTGCCTCGGTAACCATCAGAGTCCCCATCTAGCAAGAGAGAAATGAGTTATGAAAAGGCTTGAGTGAAGAAGGGATTAACACATGATCCCAGGGACAGTGTGTCAATCAAAATCAACTGAGAAATTACACTGCTCTATTTGAGAATTTCTCCGGAACCCGCATGGTAGTGGAGTTGGGTGCGTATTTTTTTTCCTCTCTCTCTTTTTTTCATTTGAGAAAGACGGGGAAAGTATCATCGTGATTATTCTTCATGACTATCATTGAGAATTACACTGAGGGAGGGAAGGGATCACAAAAAGGAGGGGTATTTAAGGACACAGGAGTCCCCACCCCAGCCCAGCACGTCTGGGCACCTCGCTCTTGCGCCCGTCTCGGTCCCTCCCTGAGGTCCCTCCTGCCTCCCGGGGGGACCCCTGTTCCGCTGCCCGTCTCCTCCCCGGCACCCAACTGCGGGGCACGCGCCCGTTGCTCGGCCCTAAAGGGGCCTAGAGCTGCGCCCCGGGGGCGCGGAAGGTGCGGGGAGAGGGGGTGAGGAAGGACAGTGAGGGGCCGGTCCTGGGCCCGGAGGACTCAGCAGCCGCCTTGGCAGCAAATCCTGTAGGCTGTCCCCTGCCTTGGTTGTCTCGATGTTCCGCTCAGCGCTGGGGAAATAAATCGAACCTGGTGCACACCCCTCCCCCAGGTTGTAACACAACTGCCCCCCCAGCCAACACACACGCCCAAGCACGCAGACTTTGCACACGTGACATGGGGGTCTCAACAATAAAGAAAAAAAAGAAGACCTTACAGCGCGAAGAAGCGGGCTTTAGTTAATCGATTTCAAACACGCCTGTGGTGCGGCTCAGTGACCCCCTCCGCTCGGCTGAGTCCGCTTGGACTTCCGCTCCGGCGCTTGAGTCAGGAATTTTGACATAAACCTCAATCCGCTTCCCCCCCACCCACCCCAAGAGAGGGTCTCCCCCTTTTCCAGCCCCCCAAAAAGAGAGAGATGGTTCTCTTGGAAATACTTGAGAAGCACAAGACCCTGGAAGGGACGCAAAAGTACCTGGGTCTGCTGGAATAGGGGAAAGGGGGCCTCCCTGGGGGGTGACCCCGGGATAACCACTGGGTCCCATCTGCTGAGCACTGGGGTTCAGCTGGAGGTGGGGAAGCTCAGCGGCTCTCTCTGCCCGGGTTTCTGGCCAGCCCCCGAGGGCCAGGCTAGGGGTGGCACCAGGTGCCCGGGGTGACAGGGGTCGGGGCAGCAGAACCCGCACTCCCTATTTCCTGCCAAAGCCCACAGCCTGCTCTTTTTCCCAAAAGGAAGAGACCTCGCCATCTTCTTGTCCAATTCTCTCCATTAGCAGATGGGGAAACTGAAGCCTGGAGATGACGAAATTACTAACCACCCATTGACAGGGACGAGGTTAGAGCCCAATTTTCTAAACTTCGGTTGGGAAAATTGGTCCTATTTAAAAGACAGCAAAAAAAGTTTTAAGGAAACTTTTCTCAGACTGAGAGCCTTAAGTTTGCCCAGGGAGGGGCCAGGACTGGAGGAGGGGGCTGGCTTGGGGCTGAGGCCAGCTTAGCCTGGGCCCTCTTCTCCGGGTGTCCAGCGCTCCCCTCTGCCACTTTATTCATTCATTCATTTATTCCTTCGCCCTCCCTCCGACGCCTCCCCTTCCCCGAGGAGTCTCACACAGGTTTCCAGTCTTGAGGCCCCAATGGTTAACTCAATCGCCCTGACCCCGGCGCTATTTGATATTTGCCTCCTTGACACTCATTTAGGAGCTCGCAGCGGTAACGTAGACATTGGACAAGTCCAGCCTGAAACCGAAGCCTCTTGAAAGGGGGGAGACGGGGAGAACCTGATAGCTGGAAACTCGTTTTCTCCAAAGGCTTTCGGGACATTTTAGCCCGGCTCCGGGTCCGCGGAGCGCCAGGGCGCCGCCAGTGCGGGTGTAAACGTTAAATGTTAGCTATTTGTTCCAATGATTGGCATGAAAATCGACTCTTTCTTGTCTTCTTTTTTTCCTCCTTCTCCCTCTTTCCTTTCCTTTCTCCCTCTCCCCCTCCGGATTCCCACAAATACTAATCCAACCAGTGGCCCCTCCACTGCGCCTTCCCCTCCTACCAGGCGCCACCCAAGTCCGAAAAACTCCCGATCTGGAGAAAAATAAGAAAACAACAGTGACAATCCGGCCGGGGCCGGGGCCGCGGGGAAGGGGCAATGGGGGGAACCTCTTCTGGTTTTGCTCCACTCCTGGAGGCGACACCATTCATCTGCCACCTACTCGCTGCCTCCTCTTCTTCAGTTCCTTGTATCGTTTTTCTTTTTCTCTTCTCCTACTTTTTTTTGGGGGGGGGGGCGGGTGGGCGGTTATTTCTTTTAACTGGGCTAGAGAGAATGAAAAGTGTCCGTAACATATTAGGAATTCAGGAGTGCTGTGCTCTCTATTAACGAGAGACAAACAGATGAGCAGATAAGGTAGTCACCTGGTTTCAAAAGTTCCAGTTTCTGCTTAAAGGGAGCAAAGGACAGAGACGTCTCACTCAGAGCGTGGCAGTTATGCTGCTCCGGAAAGGGAGGCTGGTCCCGCAGTTGAGGCTGGCGACAAGCCCCACTTCCCACACCCTCATCTGTTCACTGTCCAGTCCCTGCTCCCAATCGCCCTTAACCCCACTCCCGCAGTCTCTAAATAATAACATGCTTATCCCAGTCTCTCTCATTCCAAAAGGCTGGTCCAGCCTCTCCCAGCCCCACTCCACCCTCCTTTTCATTTATCTTATTTGTTCTGTCATTCCCCATAGCTTCTTCCAATGTAACCTTTCCAAACTCTGATTAGTAGAAGCTTCATTCTCTTCACTCACGCTTTTCCCCCAAGCCCCCTCTCTCCCTTTCTCTCTCCTTCTTAAAAGATTTTGGAGCCGGGAAGATAAGATATGCAATCCTCTATCGGGAATCCTGTGATATTAAAGATCAAACGTAGCATCAATGGAAGACCAAATGCAGGGGGAAACAAAAGGGGGAGGCTGGGAGATGCTCATCAGCTAATTACAGCTGCAAATATTATGCAAATTTATCTTGGCACAGAAATGGAGAAAGCGAGTTTAAGTGCGGAGATAATGCCGGAAAATTGAATGTTCATCTGGGCATGGGAAACGGCCCAGTAGGCTCCATTGGTCTGTTTCATCTAGGGAAGCACCGTTTTTATGCTCCTATCAGATCATCCGCACTTCACTGGTTGGGGCTGAGAAATTAATATTACTTATAATTGATACTTGAAATTCTTGGAGCGATGTGTCATACAGAGACGGAAGAGAGGAATCGGGGAAAAGGGAGAGGGAAGGGGAGAAAAGAAGAGAGCGGAAGAAGAGGGAAGTCACACATTATTGAATATAGAATTGCAATCTGAAGTCTGAAGTCCACTGTGCTGAGGCCAGAACGAACTGGAAGACAAAGGAAAAAATATCCCAGAAAATCTGGGATATTTTCTGGGTCTCCCTCTACCACCACCTAAAACCTGAAATATCTTTCTGATCAAGATTCAAGCTTTAAAAAAAAAATAAATCGATAATTATTTGGCTGCCTACTTAGCTTGAGAGTGTAGGACAGGGTCAGGAGTTGAGATTTGAACTCAACTCATGAGTTACTTAAATGAGAAACCTAGGTTACCCCAGGGGAGGAAAACTGCGTGGCTGACGGGTGTGACCACTCCAGGCTGCTCTTTTGGACCCAAGCAGAGGGAAGGCAGGGTGCTTTGCTCTATGGAACCTCACCTCTGCCTCTGCCCTTACCAGACCCATTTCCTCCATCTTTACTGGCCCATTTCAACCTTCTTCAAACTACTCAAGAACTATCTGGGAAATGACACTCCCAGGAAATAAACTCCAGATCCTCACACTTCAGGAATAAATGTTCTTAAGTATAGGGAAGAAGGGAGACAACGGGAACTACAGTGAACAGAAAATAATTCTTAAAAAAAAAGTCCTCATCCCATCTCCCGGTACAAAATCTGCTGCAAGCTAGGGAAAGGTGGAGAATTTCAGACGAGAGCATTAGTCGGTGCAAGCCATCCAATTACCAGGAAATTATGATCTGACGTCAGGAGGAACAATTGGAGAACGAATATGTATGAATCTCCTCTCACTGTTTTGCATATTTGCAACGATTGTTTAATCCAAGCAACCAGAAAGTAATCAACAGGCACAAAAAGCTTAAAGAGCAAATTACCAATGACTCCTGCCCCTTCCACTTCCTGAAGCCGGGAGATTCTGGTGCTGTCAGTGGTTGGGAGGGGACTCCCCGTACAGCCTTGGATTCTGAAATCCATCCTGTAAGAGGCAGCCAGTAAAGCCTGTTGCGTTGAGGTGGCTTTTGTTCCTTCGGCGTTAGGGTAAAAGACAAAAGAAACAAAAATGCCAATTATTGGACTTAATTAACCATTAAATGAGATGTGTATCCTCTTCTCTCTAACTCAAAAATGGAGGGAAGTTGATGAGGTTAGGTGTGGGGTGGGGTCTAGGAGCACCCTCCCACCCTTGTGATCTAATTAGAGGAAACCTATGCATATTCCGCCAGTGTTAACAGACAAAGCCAGGATATATATATACATATATATATAACACACACACACACACACACACACACACACACACACATGCATACTTTTATAAAAAAGAGCAATAAACATGGAGAGGAACCAGGAATTGATTTTTTTTTTCTTGTTTACTTGGAATGGGGCTGGAGTGGGCAGCAGTTAGGGTGGGAGCTGTTGGGGGGGCGAGCTCTGGTGAGGA